>NC_000001.11:211972465-212123980 GCF_000001405.40 Homo sapiens | reverse complement strand
TCAGTTGGCCATGGTGCCCTGAGGAACATAGCAAGACCCCACGTCTACCAAAAAAAAAAAAAAAATAGCTGGGTGCATTGGCATGTGTCTATAGTTCTATTCTCTTCTCTCTCTTTTTTTTTTCTTTGAGACAGAGTTTCACTGTTGCCCAGGTTGGAGTGGTGCAGTGGCACGATCTCGACTCACTGCAACCTCCACCTCTCAGGCTCAAGCGATCCTCCTGCCTCAGCATCCCAAGTAGTTAGGATTACAGGTGTGCATCACCACGCCTGGCTAATTTTTTTTTGTTTTTTTTTTGAGACAGAGTCTTACTCTGTCGGCCAGGCTGGAGTGCAGTGGCAGGAACTCGGCTCACTGCAACCTCCACCTCGCAGGTTCAAGCAATTCTCCTGCCTCAGCCTCCTGAGTAGCTGGGATTACAGGCATCTACCACTACGCCTGGCTAATTTTTGTATTTTTAATAGAGACAAGGTTTCAGCATGTTGGCCAGGCTGGCCTCAAACTCCTGGCCTCAAGTGATCCTCCTACCTCAGCTTCCCAAAGTGCTGGGATTATAGGCGTGAGGTGAGCCACTGCACTTGGCCTTTTTTGTATTTTTAGTAGAGACGGGGTTTCACCATTTTGGCCGGGATGGTCTCAAACTCCTGATCTCAAGTGAACTTCCCGCCTTGGCCTCCCAAAATGCTGGGATTACAGGTGTGAGCCACTGCACCTGGCCTGTAGAACTCCTGTGTGCAAAGTTAGCTCAATTATTAGGGAGTCGCTTGAGCCCAGGAGTTTGAGGCTGCAGTGAGCTATGATTGCACCACCACACCACCGTACTACAGCCCGGATGACAGAGTGAGACCCTGTCTCAAAAACAAACAAACAAACAAACAAACAAAAGCAAAGAATGTCAGGGATTGAGGAAAAGAAGCAGCAAGACGATGGGGTACACAGGGTAGAGTCAGAACAGGGCTGGGAGCTTGTGTGGGTGCCTAAAATAGTTTTGTCTGGATTTAGTGTGGAATCCTGGCTCCCTTGTTTAGTTGTTTAGTTCTAGTATTTACTCAAACTTTTAGAGTTGCCCTATTCCAGAGTCACATGCCCATCAAAGATGAATCCGAAATTGAAGTGGCCATAGATGGTAGAGGACCTTAAAATTGTCTCCCTCCAACTTGATTTACGACATGAAGAGATCTTGATGCTGTGGCCAATGGGATCCCTGAGTGTAGACAGCATCTGAATCTATATCCATGCAGAATGAGATAAATATATTGCCATAGAAGAAGATGCTGGCACCAAATTGTGTCTGTATGTGTTTGTTTTTGTTAGTAACTTTTTTTTTTTTTTTGACACAGAGTCTTGCTCTGTTGCCCAGGCTGGAGTGCAGTGGCATGATCTCAGCTCACCACAATCTCTGTCTCCTGGGTTCAAGCGATTCTCCTGCCTCAGCCTCCCGAGTAGCTGGGATTACAGGTGTGAGCCACTGCGCCTGGCTAATTTTTGTATTTTTTTTTTTTAGTAGAGACAAGGTTTCGCCATGTTGGCCAGGCTGATCTTGAACTCCTGACCTCAGGTGATCCATCCGCCTCGGCCTCCCAAAGTGCTGGGATTATAGGCATGAGCCACTGTGCCTGGTCAGCTTTTGTTAGTAATTTCTTAAGGAAGATTTGAGCCTTATGGTAAATAGTACCTAGCATAGTGCTTGCTGCATAGTGGACGTTAAATTTGTTTTTTTGATAAATGAATAAATGAACAAGTGTATGATAGACAGTAAATACTGGCTGCCTATCTTGTTCATATCTTTAAAAATGGAGATATTATAATCATGTGCTTTCTTCCATATATAAAGTTGATATTCCTGATTCACCATTAAAAGAACATTTACTTTGCATATGTGGTGTGACATAGGCTCTAGTCCTGACCCTGCCAGTAATTATCCATGTGACCTCAAGTAAATGACTAATATTCTCTTGCTTCTTTTTTTTTCCTGTTTATTCTGTAAAAGGAGGTGGTTGAACTCAGCACATGCTAAACCTCCATCTAGATTTGAACTTTTGAGATTACTCTGTGGTTCTAAGATAAGAGCTCCTGTGTACAAAGTTAGCTCGACCACATAGGGACCAAACCTACCAACCTTGTTCCATCAGCACTGTGCTCGAGCTTGAATTGGCTTAGAGTAGTTTAAGGCATCTTTAAACAGAGATCTACAAATCCCCCAGACTCCATCAATGGGCTTTATAGGGTTTACAAACTTGCAGCCCCTCCTCACACTCTTATAAGCAACATTTTGTATATAAGCATCTTGTGAATTTTTCTGGGGTATGTGTCCTTAGATTTCAAAGAGTCTCAAAAATGTGGATAACCTCTAAACGTTAAGAAATCCTGCTCTGTCACCCAGGCTGGAGTGCAGTGGTGTGATCCTGGCTCACTGCAACCTCTGCCTCCTGGGTTCAAGTGATTCTCCTGCCTCAACCTCCCAAGCAGCTGAGACTACAGGACGTGCCACCATGCTGACTAATTTTTGTATTTTTAGCAGAGATGGGGTTTTGCCATTGTTGGCTAGGCTGGTCTTGAACTCCTGACCTCAAGTGATCTGCCTGTCTTGGCCTCCCAAAGTGCTGGGATTACAGGCGTGAGCCACTGTACCCAGCCTGTTTCTAACACTATTGCATTTAATCTGATAAATGAGTAAGACCCAGTTGTAGCCACAGAAAAACTAATGGAATTCAGAACACAGATCTCACCATTTTTATGCTTTAGACATTTTGCCTACAGGGAAGCCTGAAACCCTCTTGATTAATCAACGACAGAGAAAAACATAGAATGCTCTGACTGCAGGACAATTATCTCTGGGCACAATAGAATTCCACCCGGTTGGGCTTATCACAGAAAGGAATCTGTCAGAAAGTTCCCCCAGTGTAGTGATGACCATTACCCAACACAGTGATGTCCAGACTATCACATAGAAGAGGTCCACACCTGTGGTCATAAGTGGTTTGGGTCTTAGACTGGCACAAACCAGAGGTCAGCAGGTGGAGGATGGGCCAACTGACAGAGGCAGAGACTGTGGGGCTCTAATCACTGCTGTGCTATAAAGTTCTTATGACCATTCAGTGCAAACCACTCAATCTCATTGGATTCCAATTCCTTTACTTATTTATTTATTTATTTTGAGACGGAGTTTCGCTCTTGTTGCCCAGGCTGGAGTGCAATGGCGCAATCTTGGCTCACCGCAACCTCTTACTCCTGGTTTTAATCAATTCTCCTGCCTCAGCCACCGGAGTAGCTGGGATTACAGGCATGCGCCACCACGCCTGGCTAATTCTGTATTTTTAGTAGAGACGGGGTTTTTCCATGTTGGTCTCGAACTCCCGACTGCAGGTGATCCACCTGCCTTGGCCTCCCAAAGTGTTGGGATTACAGGCGTGAGCCACTGTTTCTGGCCCCAATTCCTTTATTTCATAAGCATATTTAATATGAGAGAAATTGAATTCCTAAGAAAAAATCCCAAGGAATCAATAGGATATACTTTTAAAGAAAAAGGTGGGTCAGCATATAGGAAATTAAGATATTAATGGCTACTCACCTAGAGCCCAGACTTGGGGGATCTGGATGGGTCTAAGGAAGACTGGAGATTTAAGGGAACCAGATCTACTATCCAAGAGCCATGAGTATCCCCAGGGCTGAGTCTGGTTCTATCTGTTTAGCAGAAATTAACCCAAAGGCTGGTCTCAAAGGTTCTCAGGGCCAGTTAGCTCAAGTTTCCAGAGCACTGTGCTCAAAGGATCACAAGTTTGACCTTTGTGATTATGCGACAACTAATGTCACTCTGTTTTCACATTAGACTGAGCCCTAGCTGTAGCCAGGAGCATCACTGGGGACACATGGAGGACTGGCTGGGAGAGTGTGAGTGGCATCCCTGCCTTTGGAAACCAGCTCAAAGTCCACTCTAGCTCAAACTGCTCACTTTAACAAACACCTCAAGTTTGTGTGTGTTCCGCATGTCACCATCATTTTAGGTAATTTTCAAAGAACAAGTGAGCAGCGAAAGAATACAAGGCTCACTCCTAAGGGACTTCAGGCTGAGGCACTAGCCCAGCTGGGATGACCAATGAGATTGACTCCTTCAAGAAGTAAGAACTCCTTTAAGAAGTAAAGACTCCATTCTCCCTGTCTTCGGTGAAGTCACATAACTCGTCTTTCTCACAGGGCCTGCCTCTCTGGGCACCTCAGCCAGTGCCTGCAGGGCTGGTTATCCAAGCTCACACTGAGAGCTGTCGCTGAGTGTCAGGCACACAGAACCAGAGGGCTGGGCCTTTGACAGCAGCTCCAAAAATAAGGTGCCAGGCCCTGCTTCTCACTTTCCCCTTGTGCCCTGTGAGCTGCTGGCATTGCCTTTGGAGCCATTACTCAGCAGGCTGAATGTAGCAGAAATAGGATGCTGCTTTGACTCAGGAGCCCAGATTCTTTCTCGGGCTGAGTCCTGCAAGCCTGTCTCTTGCACTGCAGTGGAGGGCCCTGGCAGGGCTATGTGGGGACATAACCTGGCCTCTCACTCTCACTTCCTGGCAGGGCAGTAATCCAGGACAGCGTTTTGCTGCTAACTATCCCTGGGCTTTTGCAGGTGTCTCTGTGCCCCTGGGCTGTACAGCACCAGCTATCTGGTGAACACCCTTTCCTTACCTCCTCCATTCTTTTCACACACACTCCTTCCCCCTTCTCATCCTAAATGAAAACCTGGCCTGCCACCAGGCCCCATCTCTCTTCCTCAGGGTCAGAACAGGCTGACATTCTCCAACCTCCTGACCCCAGCTTCTCCAGACCCCGGCTTCCCCACCCTTCTTGGGCACATCATCCTGTTTTACTGCTGGCTCAGTCCACTCAACTGTTCGCTGGTGTCCAGCACATTCTCTTGCCCTCCTCAGTGGCTTAACACCTGCCTTGTAGCTTTCATGACAACTTCCTCTTCTGTCACCTGTTTTTTTACTTTTCTGGTATCTTAGCTTCACTATTGTTTTCTAAAACCTACAAATAACATCTGCCCAACCTGTCATTCACTGTAACAAATATACTTTGGACATGGGCATCAGAATGGCCCATATCATACCAAATTCTTACAACCCTACTCTGACCACAAACATCTTAGCTTCTTTCTACCTGTCTGCTTCAGGTAATTCTTCCTCACCTGCTCACCCTTCCCAGAATCTCTTGCACCCTCCACATCCAGCCTGGATCCCTTGGCCTGCCGTTTCCAGGGTGCCCATGGGTCCCGCATACTTTCACTCTTCCCTGGGTCGCCTGTGCTGACTTCCCACCTTGGGTAATCCCTACCTCAGTTTTCTTTGGCTCTGCTCCCAGATTGCTGAGTGCAGCTGAAAACGTACAAGCTCTCTGTGGTGTTGGAGCCTTCAACAACCCATTCCATTAAGACCATGTGTGTCTGACTGTCTTCCCCACCATTTGCACTTCAAGGTAGGGACTTTAGCACCCCCAGGATAATCATAAAAAGTTAAAATGTAGTACACGACTGACACTTGCCTAGGCACCTTACATATATAGTAATTTATTTAATCCTCCGATGACAACAGAGAAAGCACTGTTATCACCTTTCCTGTTTTTCAGTGAGGACACTGGGGCTCAGAGAAATGAAGTAACTTGCATAAGGTCACAGGATCAGTAGATAGCAGAGTCAAGATTATGGTATCTGGGTGACACATTTATACTGTTCTCTTCTTAAGAGCTCTGTGGAAAGTTTGCTGACTTTCATCAGAGCTTCTGCTGCAGCTAGCAATCTTTTAAATCATCCCCAGTTCACTCTTAATTGGACGTATGTATATTTCTTTTTTTTTCTTTTTTGAGATGGAGTCTTGCTCTGTCGCCCAGGCTGGAGTGCAGTGGGGTGATCTTGGCTCACTGCAACCTCTGCCTCCCGGGTTCAAGTGATTCTCCTGCCTCAGCCTCCTGAGTAGCTGGGATTACAGGTGCGCATCACCATGCCCGGCTAATTTTTGTATTTTTAGTAGAGACGGGGGTTTCACCATGTTGGCCAGGCTGGTCTCAAACTCCTGACCTCGTGATCTGCCCGCTTTGGCCTCCCAAAGTGCTGGGATTACAGGCGTGAGCCACTGTACCCAGTGGATGTATGTATATTTCATTTCTGACTCTTTAATACTTCTGGTAAATTTAGACCAGAGATCATTGCTCTCTGGTCCCAGTGGGCATCTAGACTCTCAGGGCAACCTTCCATGCTCTTCTTCCTTGTGTTTGACTGAACTAGCTCCCAGATGAGCTTCCCTCAGGGCCCCATGTGCCACAACCCCAGATACCTCCACTGTTCAGCGGGGCTGTGCTGTCCCAGTTCCCATTCTCTAGGGAAGAGAGAAGACATTACAATTGTCATGATGGTTATTTAAAGTCATTTCCATGTCAACAGGCTTTGGAAGCTGGGACTTAAATCCCCCCTCTGCCACTCACTACCTTCCATGGGCAAATCACTTAAATTCAAAGAGATTTAGTTTCTTTCTCTCTTCTCCTCTCTCTCTTTCTTTTCATTCTTTTTTTAAAGGAAGTCTTGCTCTGTTGCCCAGGCTAGAATACAGTGGCACGATCTTGGCTCACTTCAACCTCCGCCTCCCGGGTTCAAGCGATCCTCCCGCCTTAGCCTCCTGAGTAGCTGGGATTATAGGCACGTGCCACCATGCCTGGCCAATTTTTGTATTTTTAGTAGAGATGGGGTTTCACTATGTAGGCCAGGCTGGTCTCAAACTCCTGACCTCAAGTAATCCACCCCCTGGCCTCCCAAAGTGCTGGGATTACAGGTGTGAGCCACTGTGACTGGCCTAGATTTAGTTGCTTTATCTGCAAAGTGAGAATAATAATGATACTCTTATTAGGGTTATATTTATTAAAGAGCCTTGCACAGAGCCTGGCTCATATTAGGCACTGTAAATATTAGTTCTTTTTCCTTCTCTTACCCCCACACCCCTCTCCTGTCAATTCATTCTCTGCAGATGACCTTTTAGGGTGAATTCTCTCAATTCCCTTGTATTTCTATCAAAAATTTCTCATTTATAGTACAAGTTTCTTAAAAATGAGTTGGCACTTTTAAGGCAATTGCCTTTATCAGACCCTTTGTCACAGTAATTCCACTTCTAGGAATCTATTATGAAGAAGTAGTTGGAAATGTGTGTATTCTATGTATAATATTCTATAACATAGTTATATCACCTTATATAATCTGTTATATTTAAATATTTTCCATTATAAGACTCTATATTCTGTGGTTTGTTTTTTATTCTTTTGAGATAGACTCTCCCTCTGTTGCCTAGGTTGGAGTGCAGTGGTGTGATCTTGGCTCACTGCATCCTCCACCTCCCAGGTTCAAGCAATTCTTGTGGCTCAGCCTCCTGAGGAGCTGGGATTACAGGCATGTGCCACCATGCCTGGCTTATTTTTGTGTGTGTGTATATATATATATATATATATATATATATATATATATATATTTTTTTTTTTTTTTAATAGATACGGGTTTTGTCATGTTGGCCAGGCTGGTCTCGAACTCCTGGCCTTAAGTGATCTGCCCACCTTGGCCTCCCAAAGTGCTGGGATTACAGGCTTGGGCCACCATGCCTGGCCTATATTCTGTGTTTTTTTTTTTGTTTTTTTTTTTTTTTGAGGTGGAGTCTCGCTGTGTCGCCCAGGCTGGAGTGCAGTGGCACGATCTCAGCTCACTGCAACCTCCGCCTCCCAGATTTAAGCAATTCTCTGCCTCAGCCTCCCGAGTAGCTGGGATTACAGGCGCATGCCACCATGCCCGGCTAACTTTTGTATTTTTAGTAGGGATGGGGTTTTACCATGTTGGTCAGGCTGGTCTCAAACTCCTGACCTTGTGATTTGCCCACCTCAGCCTCCCAAAGTGCTGGGATTACAGGTGTGAGCCACTGCGCCCAGCCAAAATAACTTTTTAAAATTACAGTATTAACATATGCTTCTTGTGGAAAATTTGGAAAATACAGACAAGCAAAAGAAAAAAATCACTTGTGGTTTCTACTATGATTACAGTACATTTCAGTGTATGTGTCTATACATAATTTATACCAAGCTTGTCCAACCCATGACCCGTGGGCCACATGCGGCCCAGGATGGCTTTGAATGTAGACCAACACAAATTTGTAAACTTTCTTAAAACGTTATTATTATTATTTTTTTAAGCTCATCAGTTATTGTTAGTGTTAATGTATTTTATGTGTGGCCCAAGACAATCCTTCTTCCAATGTGGCCCAGGGAAGCCAAAAGATTGGACACCCCTGATTTATACCATTTATGTATTTATTTAGAGACAAAGTCTCGCTCTATTGCCCAGGCTGGAGTGCAGTGGTGCAATCTCTGCTCACTGCAACCTCCACCTCCCGGGTTTAAGTGATTCTCTTGCCTCAGCCTCCCAAGTAGCTGGGATTACAGGCGCCTGCCACCACGCCTGGCTAATTTTTGTATTTTTTTTAGTAGAGACGAGGTTTCACCATGTTGGCCAGGCTGGTCTTGAACGCCTGACCTCAAGTGATCTGCCCGCCTTAGCCTCCCAAAGTGCTGAAATTACAGGCATGAGCCACCATGCCCAGCCGATTTATACATTTTATAACAAAATTATATATTATACCTATTTTACAACTTATGTCCTATTTTTTTAAAGTCATTACAGTAATATAATTTCCAATAGCCATATTTTAATTTATTTAAACATTCCCTAAGAATGCTGGAACTGTGTTATCCAGTGCAATACCCAATGTAATACCTACATGAAATAGGGGATTTTCTACCCCATCTTAACTCTGATGCCTAAGATCAAAATTCTTCCTCATGACCAAATTGGCTAAGACTGATGGGATCCAAGATGGTACTCACTTGACCTCTGAAGTACCTCTAACTTCATTATAATCTAATTCCCATACTAAATGACACTCCCACAGCACCATGACAGTTGACAATCACCATGACAATGACCAGAAGAAACCATAAAAGGACATAAAGGAAGGCAGTACTCCTTTTTTGAGGAGTTTTCCGCCTGTTCCCAGAAAAGACATGAATATTCCTCCCCTGGCTTCTAATGCCCAAAACTTTCATTAAATATACCCTGTATCGGCCGGGCGCGGTGGCTCATGCCTGTAATCCCAGCACTTTGGGAGGTCGAGGCAGGTAGATCATGAGGTCAGGAGATCGAGACCACCCTGGCTAATGCAGTGAAACCCTGTCTCTACTAAAAAAAATATATAAAAAAAATTAGCTGGGCTTGCTGGCGGGCACCTGTAGTCCCAGCTACTTGGGAGGTTGAGGCAGGAGAATGGCATGAACCTGGGAGGCGGAGCTTGCGGTGAGCCGAGATTGCACCACTGCACTCCAGCCTGGGAGACAGAGCGAGACTCTGTCTCAAGAAAAAAAAAAAAAAAAAAAATTTATATCTATATATATATATATATAACCTGTATCTGTGACTTTCCAGCTCTCACAAGCTGATAAATTGTTTTATGAGTCAAACTCCCACTTCTTAAATTCCATGGCCATTGAATAAAGCCTGCACTGCTAGATGTTCACTTTTGGTTTTGTGTATTGGCTTTGTAGCATCAAACAGGGAAAGATCCCATTTTTGGGGCACTGGCTTTGTTGGTAACAGAAACATTTAAGCTGTTTCTATTTTTCCAAGATTATACATAACACTGTGATAACTTCAACTGCATTTTTGGGCACTTTCTAAATTATCTCTTTGCCAATCTCTGTTCCTGATGCCATCCCTCCCAAGCCTCCATTTCTGGGACCCTGAACTACTGCTTCACCTCTCCCATAGCATGGGCCCTGCCTCTGGCTGGCTCCTTCCCTTCTGCCTACAAACATTATAAACTTGGTGCAGGGTACCTATTCTTCCAAACCCTCCTAGATTCTTCTGGCCTTTCCTGGCATCCTCAGCGGCCCCTCTGGCCTCACAGGTGGGGCTCCTCCTCCTGCTTAAGGCAAAGTCCCTTTCCTTCCTGCTTCCCTTGTTAACCCCTCATTGTTATCTGGGTCTTTAAAACCTTCCTTTCTCGCCTGCTTTCTCCTAGCCCATGAACTGATCTAATGTTTCCCATACCCAAGTCCTTTCTTGACCATGAACCCCTCCATACCCTCTCAGTGTCTGTTCTTCTCACTTCTCAGCCAAACTCTCTGGAAATGTAAACTGCACTTGCTCTCTCCCATTCCCTGACCCTGCCACTTGGCTCCAGTCTTACCTTCCAGATCATCAAAAGCAATTGACATTATTTGTGCTTCATCCTGCTTGACTTTACTGTTTTACTCCTTGAAACTCTGTCCTGGACTCTCTCCCCCTAAAATAGCTTCTCAGTCACCTGTCAGCTCTTTCTCTAATCACCCTTAAATGCTGGCCTTTCTCCACACTAATGGTTCCGAAGTGTGGTCCCTAGACCAGCAGCATCAGCACCGCTTGGGAACTTGTTAGAAATGCACATTTTCAGGCCCCAGCACAGACCTCCAGATAAAAACAAAAAACAAAAAACTGGTGGGGTGTTTGCTCAAGTTTGAGAACTGCTGTGCTACAATCTCCCTGGACAATCTTCTCTATAAACTCCACTTTAACTATTCTTTTCACACCTAATACTCCTAAATTCTTCCCACCCCAGACCCCTCTCCTGAGTTCTAGTCCTGTACATACAACTACCTAAAGGGCATCTCCACTGGCTGTCCCACAGGTGTCTACAAGGGAAATAATTTCCTCCCATAATCTGGTCATTTCTACTATTAATATATCCCATTCCTCCAAAGGACACCATCTACCCACTAACTGGTGCCAGGATCCTGGGACTCATTTCAGGTTCCTCTCTCATATAACCACCTAAGAAGACTTTAGTTTGCCATTTCAGGAGCATCTCTCAAATCAGTAACATCCTCTCATGTGCACCATTATTCTGTTTCAGGCCCACCTTCCTTACTGCATGGATCACTACAATCACCTCCTGATATGGTTTGGCTGTGACCCCACGCAAATCTCATCTTGAATTGTAGCTCCCATAATTCCCACATGACGTGGGAGAGACCCAGTGGGAGGTAAATGAATCATGGGGGTGGGTCTTTCCTGTGCTGTTCTCGTGATAATTAATAAGTCTCACGAGATCTGATGGTTTTATAAAGGGGAGTTCCCTTGCATATGCTGTCTTGCCTGCCGCCATGTAAGGCGTGACCTTGCTCCTCATTTGCCTTCTGCCATGATTGTGAGGCCTCCTCAGTCATGTGGAACCGTGAGTCAATTGAACCTCTTTCCTTTATAAATTACCCAGTCTCGGGTATGTCTTTATTAGCAGTGTGAGAACAGACTAATACATCTCCTAACTGGGTTGCCTGCCTAATGTCTGGTTCCTTTGCAATCTACCCTTTACATTACTACAGAACCACTTTTCTAAAATAAAAATCTGATTGTGCTTGTCCCCTGCTTGGTCATTCAGTAGTTGTCTAGTGCCTCAAGATAAAGCCCAAACTCAGTATGGTGGCAATGCCAGGCCTTTGTGCCCTACCCCTGCTTGCCTCCACAGTCTCATCTCCTGCTGTTCTTTACATGTTCTCTCTGCTGCAGCCACCAGGGAAACTGGAATAACTTAGAGTTCCCCAGACAGGACATTCTTTCTCATGTCCTCAAACCTCTGTTCATGCTATTGTGCGATTTCCTTTGCTAGGATAATTCTTCACTTAAATATCTGGAAAATTTGTTTTTCTCCAGAGTTAAGCTCAGAGTTGGCTTCTGTATGCAAACTTCCTGGGATCCCCAGGCTCATTTTAACGTGCTCCAACAGCCCCCAGATCATGCCTTCAGAGCACTTATCATTGTGTTCTTGTGTTTGTCTGCCCTGTGAGTCCAGGAGCAAGATGAGGATGGGCCCATGTATTGTCTTTGTTTAATGCAATGCCTGACACATAGTAGATGTTCAGCAAATAGCTGTTTAACAAGACTCCTTCTCTTGTCTTGAAAGGAGTTTATATCTACTGCTCATTTCCTAGCCACCTGTATTTTTTTCATTCCCAGCCATCTTTCATATCTATCATCCTACTGAAGTAGCTCTTGAGAAGGACAAAGATGTGCTTAATTTAGCCTTATTTAAGTTATCTTCATCAACCTCTCTGCAGCAGTGAACACCCACTTCTCAGAAACTTCTCTTCCCTGGGCTCCTGAGCTGACGCTATTTGAATTCTCTTTCCTTTTGATCTGCACTTTCACTGGTTGCCTTTCTTCTTCATGCATCTTACAACCACTATGCCAAGCACTACAGCAAGCACAGGGGCAGGCAGGTGGTGATAGGGTATGTGCAGTGATGTGCTGGTAAGCTAGCTCTCCACAAAAAAATAAAAAAGACCCTGATTTGTACCTTCCATAGTGTAAATACTCTTGCCATGACTGAGTATTTACTACTGAGTATCAGGCTACTAACACTTTAACAGCTCACAAAATCCCTGAATATTTAATAATTGGCTGTCATGAGTATAAGCCAGTTCCAGCACAATACTGGGTATAGAGAGATGAGTAAGACCAGTTGGATATGGAGGAGACTAGTCTAGTGGAGGAAATATAGAAATAATTCTAAGACAAAGTGCTAAGCACTGTCAGAGTGTTGAAACCAGACACTATGGGGCTGAGTGGAAGGAAGCTATATTAGGAAAATCTGTGAAGAATTCCTACAGGAAGTGGTGGAGGGATTGAACTGGATCTTTAAAAATGGGGGCTTAAAGGTAGTCATAAGGTGGGAAAACTATTCCAGGCAGAGGAAACATTTTGAATAGCAAAGTATTCAGGTATTCAAAATATTCAAAATACCAGAATAGCAAAGTATTGAGGATAATGGCTAATAGATCAAGAGGACTGGGTACAAAAACTGTAGGATACCAGCACGGATTCTGCCACTATCTAGCTTTGCGACCCTCTGTATCTTTAAAATAAGAATTTGATTTCTATGCCCCATTTCTGCATTGATTTGATGGTGGACCTTGAGGAGAGAAAGAAAATACAAGACTGGGGAAGAAGGAGAAAGGAGGAAATGCATATGATGTGGAACTTTAACAGGCTGCCAAATGCTGCAGTGCTGGCAACGCTGCAGGACCTCCCTCTGTTGGCCACCCCTTGCTGTCTTCTGGCTCAGTCCCAGCTATGAAAATCCCAAACCCCATGCTTGAGCCACAGCACACTTTGCTGAACGGACAATTCTTTTCTTTTAAACTGAATGAATATACTGAATCCTGACAGTACATGGAGAGGCAACTTAGTTTATCCTTCTGCTTTGAGGGAACAGAGGATTCTCCTGTTTTCCTTAGAAAGTATCAAGAAGACCCACAGTCTCACTCCAGTAGCTTATTCCCTTTGAACTGTTAGCAAGTCTATCTAGGCCTCCCCAATGCCCACCTCTTGTCTATCTTCTCTAGAGAACTATCTGATCTTCATTCCTTTTAAAAAAAACCCTTTAAAAACATCATGAATCATAAAACATACATAGAAAAATGTATAAAACATAAGTGCAAGATATAATTATAGAGCAAACACCCATATAATCACTAACCAGGGCAAGAGACAGAACCTTGCCATAACCTAGGAAGTCCTTCATGTTACTTCCCAAGCACGACCCTCCAGAGGGAACTACTGTTTCATTATAATAATCAAATCATGATTTTGTTTTGCTGTTTACCACCCATGTGTATATCTCAATACTAGTATTTCCTGTCTTCTGTTAACACTTGATCTAAATGCAATCATACTGTATGTATACATTCCTCTTTCTTGCTTCTTTTGCTCAACATTCTAACCATTCATTGGCATTGTTGTGTAGCTAGTTCATTCTTTTCCATCTCATTGTTATATACTGTTGTTATGAGTATCTCATAGTTTATCCATTCTACTGCGGACATTTGGATTATTTCCAGTCTTTCACTAGCATAAACGATGCTGCCACAAACATCTTTATACGTGTCCCAGTGCATGTGAGCTTCTCTCGGGTAGAAGGGTGGAATCGTTGGGTCATAGGGCATGTGTATCTTTATCTTCATTCTCTGCCGTCATATTTGGGGGAAAGCCTTTCTTCACTTTTTCTAATTTTAACTTCTGTGCTTTTGTTCCTGTTTTCCTATCACTGTGTTCATCAGTCTTCTTCCTGTGCTCCTCTAACACTCTCAGTACTGATTCTAGCTTCTAGTCCTGCATATCCCCTTCCTTCTATAGTTAAGAATGGTTTCTTCTAAGGAATAGTATTTTTTTCATATATTACTCTAGTAGGAAATGTATTTTGAGAGTTCTTCTCTTTTAAATATACTGACAATGTAAAGCACATATTTGATTGATGGGGAGGGCCAGGGGACAGACACTCTAGGATGGGAATTAAGACTGTGGGCTTTGAGTCAGACCAAATCCACAAGCTGCCACTTGCTACATATCCTTGGGCAAGTTATTTAACTTGTGTTTTAGTTTCCTTATCTGAAAAAAAAATGGGGATAATAATTATACCCATTTATAGGGTTACAAGTGGGTATAGGAGTGTGCACTAAATGAAACAATCTACAACTTTGATTATAAGAGGTTTATACATTTGGTCTTCAGGCAGGAAGAGGAAAGACAGGCAGCATTGAGAATGCCTTCAGGTTGTGTAGTGAGGATACCTACTATGAGTTTCCATCTAGTGTTTATACTAAGTCTAAACTCTGTCCACTCCTCTTTGTGGAGTGGCTGGCTAGCGCAGGCATGTGAGATGCTGCCTGTGGCCACAGAATACACAGTGAAATGAATTGGCCCATTTAGGAATGAAACCCACAATCCTGGCTTCATGCACTACTCAAATGAGTCCAGTGGCCAAAATGACATAAAAAGGGAGAATATAAATGGGCTTAGAAATGCTGTCAACGTAAACAGGAAGGCAAGAGGACACAACAGGATAACTCAAATTAACAAGCTGCTCTAAACAGCATCCTCTCTTTGTGCAATTTATTGTACAGGAGAGTTGACTGGAACAGAAACTATTCCTAATCATTATAATTTTCCTTATCCTGCAGGCTTTCCGTGTATAACTTCAGACTCTGTCACTTACACTTCTTGGTTTTAGGAGAGTTTTCCAAAGCCAGATACTTAATTACAGGTGCAGCACTCCAAGGCCAATACCTCATTACCTAATTAGGGAGTTGGGAAGTGTTTATCATAATCACGCTCAAGATCTTAATGTTCGTTTTAACTTGTCTTCCTCTTTGTGAAGACATTGATTTTTGGACTCTGAGTCTCTTACTCCCATATAAAACTGTCTAAATCCAAAACGGCTTTTGAGGAAGCAGCATTTCCAACTTGACATTAACGGTTGGGCTGAATGTTGCCTCTTATAGAGGCAACAATGCCCACTGGATTTTAACTTCTCAGTTCCTGAACCACTAATAAGTTATTTCAGTTACATTTAATAAATCCTCCTTATGCTTCTTTTCAAATAATTCTTGGAAAATTGTGTTTGAATATATTGCAGAAGATGGGGGAAAGGTGAAAGAGAAATTAACAGTCATCCTGAATGATTATCAAGTGACGTGGTATAACAATATTTGCTAACTCCATGTCAACATAGCAAGGCCAGATGGCTTAGTTTTGTTTCAGTAACATATATCATGTGGTAATAGATTGATAAAGGGTTGATTTGTATAATTACTTTTAGACCTTGACTTCAGAAGTAAGCAAGGTTGTTATCAAGAAAAAAACAACCCAGCTCTTAACATATTCATTTGAATTGATAACTGGCACAAACCCATGAAGGGGATACAAGGTGGCAGGACTATTTGCAGGAGCAGATACCAGCTTCTAATAAAAGCATACCACATTCCTTAAGTTCCTGTAAATTGGAAACTAGGGTCCCTAATAGCATCAGTGGCAGCATAAATTCAATGCTTAGATGACAGCTGAAACCCCAATGTTGGATTTATACACCCAAATATCAAGCTAACTTTCAGGGCTGGTATTTTCACACTGATGTGAGAATGACAAGTTTTATTGGCATCAAAAACAGAGTAGCCTGGGGAAGAATCTCATCAAGTGAGAGCAAAGAATCTAGAGTCTTCATTATACTTCAATGAAATGTTTGAATCTTCTTTTGTATCCTACTACTAACAGACAGCAACATGGCTTGTTTTGAACTTTACCTATTTTATTTGTCTGCTCATAAGCAAGAGAGCACAATAGCCCAACAAGCAAGTACGAGTTGGCTCTTGGCTCTAAAGACCAGCAGCTGCAGCTTCCTCTCTAAAGGTGATCACATCTTAAACAATGTAGCAGAGCTGGGGGCAGCAGTCAGGAAATGGGAGGGTGGGCTTTGTGTGAGCAAAGGCTTTGGTTTGTTTAAGAGTTCAGGATATAGATTTGAAGATTATGGTCTCTTTGAACAGTGGCTACAGGCCACATATGAAATAATCTCCGTAATTTTCATGTGTACCTGGCGAGACAAAGTCATGAATTTCAAACTTGATTTTTCCCCACAGACCTACTTGCTCCTTTTGAAAAGTGCTGGGACTGGGAGGTCCAGGCAACATTCATGCTTTTGTTGTTTTTTTTTTAATTACCAGTTGATTCTGATTTGTGAAGACCTTTGCAGACTGCAGCTGTTAGTGGAAAGGGAACAGGAATGAGCTGAACTTTTATGTCCATGTATCGAATATAGATAATAACTCTTGCCCTCCATACTTAACAGCTAACAGCAACTGTTTAATAAAACATTAGGTATTATGTGCCAGGCACTGTCCTAAGAGCTTTACATGTAATAACCACAAAAATCCTTTTTTTTTTTTTTTTTTAGACGGAGTCTCGCTCTGTCATCAGGCTGGAGTGCAGTGGCACAATCTCGGCTCACTGCAACCACTTGACTCCCTGGTTCAAGCGATTCTCCTGCCTCAGCCTCCCGAGTGGCTGGGATTACAGGCGTGAACCACCAAGCCCAGCTAATTTTTGTATTTTTAGTAGAGATGGGGTTTCACCATGTTGGCCAGGGTGGTCTCAATTGCCTGACCTTGTGATCTGCCCGCCTCGGCCTCCCAAAGTGCTGGGATTACAGGCATAAGCCACTGTGTCCGGCCCCACATAATTCCATTTTAAGGTAGGAAACTCATTCACAGAAGGGTTAAGTAACTTGTCCACGGACACAGTTAGGGCTTGGATTTAAAGCTAGACAGTGTGGCACTAGGGATCATGTTTTCAACCATTATTTATAACCTTATAAGGAATATAATAAAAACATGTATCCAAAAAGTATTTTACTTTGAGAAGTTAAAAGTTCTAAGCAGCTGCTGAATTAAGTTCCTGGAGGAAAAGTAGGCTTCTAGACAGTACTTGCTACATAATAGCTGATTACAAACAACTTTACTCAAAGGACTTGAAATCTGATCTTTGCTGTTTCTCTCAAATGCTGACTCTGGCCTACTGAAGTATTAAAGTGACTCCTTTGGCAACTGAAAATAAAGAAAGGAACTCTTTGCAGACCAGGTGCCTCACACACAGGGCTTGGCACCCAGGTGATATGTAAATGTTGGCTGACTTAAACGCCTTCCAATCAAAGGCATTTTGAAATGTGCTATTCATATTTCACAAAATGGCTTGAATATAAACTATTCAGAATGTCAAAACAAAGGGGCATGTGGCAAGTTAAGGAAATTAAAGAGAAATGGAGTACAAATGGAATATTAAACCTTTTACATTCAAAGTGAAGAACCTGGTTGCATACCCTAAAAATCCTCTTTCCTGGCTTAGCAAGGGATGAACTTTGGGGATCAAGTAAGCCTATTCTTTAATAACACAATATCTCTCATTTGTGATGTATATGCTTGCTGCAGGCATACCAATATAAACAAGCTGCTTAATATGCTCAGGTGATTTCTTTTTTAAAGGCTGAATTTATCTTATATCATTTCTTAACAACCCCTACACTTTTTAGCTTGCACTCAAACACAGCTCAGAAATAAAACAGGTTTTGCTACCACTTTAGGGAACAAAATGGTTAACTTATAACAAGCTGGGGTCGTATTCCAGGCATCAAAGCATTAAACTTAACTCAAGTCCAACAAAATGTGTTCAGCCTGCCTATAACTTCCAACCAATATCTAAAGAACTGATGCATAATCCAATTTTTTTACCATAATCCCTGAGAATTTTATGAGTAATGGGTTAATTGGTAATGTGGCATGATCCAAACCTAGGGCAGGCAAAGAATTCCCTGTGAAGACCTGTGTGAGAAGCAATGAGATCTACTGCAAGAGCTCAACTGGGCCTACATTTAGCCCTTTATGGAATTATGAAGCAGAAACCACTTGTGTTGAATTGCCATAGGGAGGAAATTAACTCAGTTTTTCTAGTACAATGTTTTCACTCAGTCTGTCTTCTGACACACATTTGTAAAATGTTGCCCACACTATCTTAGTTGTGGAATTTATTTTTCTCTGTTAGACTACTTGGCCTTTGCTTTAAGAGCAATGTAAAAGGAACTAGGGACTAGGAAAAGCAGAAAAACAGACTTAAGAGCAGTAGTGTGTTGGCTATGACAGGCTCTCAAAAAGCATTTGTTGAACCCACACACTACCTATGTTATGAACATGGCCATAGGCTAATTTCAAGATGGGAGTTAAAGCTGTTTTAAGCTGTTAGGGCTGGGGATGGGGATAATGGGCTGACCCTCAACACAAGAGTAGCTACACATGGTCTTGATCCAACATCAGTTAAATGTGCAGTCCAGATGAAGAGACATTTGAAGACACTAATCAGTCATCCTCACAAAATTTAATTAAGGGCCCGTGTTGAAACAGCCAAAAGCAAACTCTAATACGGGATCCTAGCAATAGTGCTTGGAATGTATTCAAATGGAAAAGTTTGTGCTGGAAATACTTGTTTAGAAAAAGAACTACATCACTCCACCCTGCTTTATCAAGTAATCCAAGCCATCTTAAATGCTCAAAGTCTGATCCAAGCAAGATGTTTTTTATTAAAAGCTCTTTCAGCTTGAAATAGATTATAACTTTGGGAATAAACATTTTAATGAACAAGTAGAAGGGATTCTTGACTACTATAGTTCTTTTTTGTAGACTGCTTCTAGGTAATGCAAAAAGCTCAGAAAAGGACATCAGATAAGGTAAAAGGCTTTATTATTCAGGATCAGCTCAAAGTCTGACATGGACACAGGCAGGGATAATTATCTCATTACAGTTGACCTTTGGCACCCATTTAAAAGTACTAGCTTTCCAAGTGAGACATGTTATACCCAGTAGACTCGGTATAATTTCTGACAGCCAAATGTATCCCAATTTCACTCAGTAGGGCTGCCAGGAGATGGGTAGGGATACAAACAAAATCATCTACTTTATCAATCTTTTTTTTTTCATGGATTTTTTTCCCCCATTGGCTTTCAAAGCAAGTGAGATAAACAGCGTTACTGGCAGATATTGGTCATAAATAACATCTTCCCAAAGCCCAACAGTCAAAAAACAAACACCAAATATAAGCAGATTAGGCAGATTTCCTAAATATTCAGTTAAGGCTATGGTGTGCTTGGTTTTGACCAGAGCAATTCTATGGCTTCCTTTTATTTTTCTCCCTGGATAAAACTATGCTTACTTGATCCATGCAATTTCAGTTGTTACAGCTTTAACTTATAAGATCAAAGGAATTAAAAAGTTGTCAGAATAGATTTTCAAATAATGACAAAAACTGACATAAAGTCTACACAGTCCTCAGGGATATGGATAAAACAAATGAAGTTTCATGACTGGAAGGGGGCTCCCTTCTAAGTAAATAGTACATAGAAAGTATGTAAAGCCTCTTTCCATGAGGTTACAAAGGTGAAAAATATAAAACAATGGTTCAAGATCACTGATACATAATTGTTGAATAAGGGGAGGGATGTTTAAGATATTTTGCACATTATTAACTTAGAGTCAGTCTATACACTCTCTGTATTAAATATCTAGAGAAAATTCTATTACTTTTTGGCTCAGGGCTATCTATACTAAAAGGCTATTGCTTTTTATGTACATGAAAAGAAACTCAAGATTTATGTTTCTGGTTCTGGATTTTCAGTTAAGAGCTATATTCTGTTACAAAAATATCAATAAGAAATCATCACTTTTTTCTTAAAATCTGATGACTTATTTTTTTTAAAACATTGCAGCCCCTAAAGAACTGATGACTGCACCTGAATTCAAACCCCAAATTGATTTCATAAAACATCTTCCTCTAGTAAATGGCAAAAATCATAACCTCCTGTAGAAAGTGATGTTGGGTTGGCTGACATAGCAGATTGCTTGGTGAAAACATGGGGACCTGAAATCTCATACGGGAGATATATTTGAGAGAAAAAAGACAAACACAGCTTTCTGTTGTTGTTCTCCTAGTTTCTCCGAAGAGTTGACATTTATCACTGCATTTAAAATAAAGATGACTTTAACTCAAGAGACTGCATTTTAACACTGAACTGATATAAATGTACTTATCTGAGCATCACATTTTTACACATACTTAAAAAAAACCCCACAAAAGCATAGTGAAAAGATTATGTATTTCAAATAAAATTATACATGTTGGAGGCAGAACAGAACCAGGGGTCTTCAGCAGAGGATTTCTCAGTCAGCCTTCACAGGCCTCATGCTGTGGCTGGCAGATACTTTCCACTGAGCATAGAAAGTTTCAGGATAACAAGAAACTTGTTTTTTGCCTCCATGAACTGGGATGTCATTATTATAGAGAAGATGAATAATTTAAAAAGTGAAGACTATTCATTCAAAATGCTAGAGTGACAAATTTACTTTATGAAATTTAAACACAGCATTCATCCTCGGGAAGCTGCATATACATTATGGTAGTAGAACCAGATTAGGTACATTTCAGCGTTGAAAAGATTTTGTCTAAAAATGAAAAGGCAGCTTTCTTAAAGACCAGAGTTATAGAGTCACTCTTGTATTTTTCATCTTGTTTTAGTGGACCAAAGCTCAGCTTGTTTTAGTGGACCAAAGCTCAGTAACTCACTCAGATTAGAATCTATAATTCTGTTGAGTGTTCAGGACCACAGAAGTCCTCCTGGGACTTTCTATGGAAGTATGTGCAGATTTTCCTCATGGAGCTGGGCGTGATGGTGACCTAGAAGAAGAAAGTTTAGATTTCAGAGATTTCCTTGAAGTTCAACTGTTACTAAGTTATTACTAAGGCATACCTTAAATTAGGCTGCCAGAAATTTCATTGTTTAGCCTGCTTTCAGCTCCAAATACTTTCAATGGCAATGTCTCTTTTGGCTGATTTGTACTGACTATAGTAAAAACTTAACAGATGATATGTAGGGAAAGAAGGCATAGACTTCTTATGTGAATAGAAAACATTTACTAGCTAAGTCTCCTAATAAGAAACAAATAAGTTACAATTACTATCCTTTTTGAAATAAATGAATAAATCAGCCCCCCCAATTTATAAACAAGATAGGTATTCAAATGGAAGATGTTACTCTCTTCTGAAGGTTGACATTATCATCATATAAAGGTAAAAAATTTTTAAGAAATGTTAGCTTCAAATAAATTACAAGACCAGCACACTGTTTCTACTTTTTAAAGATTTTAAGATTTATGTATCAGTGAAAATAGTTTTTCATTGAAACTACTTTTCTGCTAACACATAGCTGAGACCAGCTCCCTTGAAAAAAAAAATAGAAATTTTGGCTAGGGATAAAGAGCAGTCATAATTTTGAGAGAAGGAAAGATTCCTTATAACTGTCTTTTTTCTCCACTTTCTACAGCAAGGTCTTGATTGCAGTTTGTGTACTAAGTTGTCTTTAAAATCTATCAGTTTATTTTTCTAAAATTATGGGATAGGTCTTCATGAGAGCAGGTCGGGGTTATGAACACTTTTTAAACTAAAACTGGCCTAAGGTTGGTTATCTAGCTTCTGCCCTTTAAAATGGCAGATGATGCTGATCATGATTCTGGATTCTATTTCAATCATCCCGCCACCACAAGAGCTACTGTGAAGTACAGTGGAAACTTCCTTAACCCATCTCCCCTTCACATGCAAACAACAGAAGCTTTTTATTCTCTCTGACTGGTGCCCATAGCTCACCCAATGCACTCAGCTACTTCTGCCTCCACCACTGTAATGAATCTTGTTTTTCAAGGTTCACAAACCTATTTCTGCCATCAATCACTGATGACTGATATTATCTAATTTAAATATTAAGTCAGTCAATGAAATGAGTCCTAAAAAGATAAGTGACACTACACTGAATGTTAAAAAGAATAGATATAGGTGTCAAAAGTATTACTGTGGTGTGGCAAAATGATTATAAAAGATTGTGGAGAAGTCATAAAAATCTAGAAAGATTTTGCACTCAAATTGTTTTGTAAGTATCTAAGTTTCACTGTATTTTAAATAATCACAAAATGGAATTACAAACTGGAAATCTACTTATGGATGTTGGCAACTTTCCCATGAACAACAGCTTTATCTATAAAAAGAGGATGGCATACTGTCTAACAGGAGAGGGGAGATATTTTTGAATTGATATCCTGGAGCATGATGAAGGCTTTGGTCAATCAGGCAACAGGGCTGAGGAGTATGGACCCTGACAGGAGGGATTTTAATGGGAGTAAGTAGAGTTGCCAGATAAAATACAGCACATTCAGTTACATTTGAATTTCAGACAAACAAAAATAGTTTCTTAGCATAAAACATTTTTACTAAAAATATGGCCCATGCAAAATTTGTTTTGTATTTATGTGCTGAATTTGGCAGCACTAGGAATAAATAGATTTCTTTCTTTAAAAAAAAAAAAAAGCATCCTGACTTGAGACATCTGGGTGTCTGGCCCCTTTTAAGTTAGGAAATGTATCTTCCCACCACTGCTGACTTACCGGGCTTGGCAATTTCTTTCCGCTCTGTCTCCTGGAATTGGGTGTCTGGGATGACGGACTTCGTGGAGATGGATTCTCAGCCTTCCGTTTGGCTGCCATGGCCAACAACCAGTTTTTATTCTCTGGGGAACTATTCTCTTTGCCTACCATTTCAGACCCTTCTCCACAAGGTCTCAAAGGAAGAGGTAGCGTTCCACAGCTTTCTGAAGCATACGGACTGATAGGAGACGGAGGCTCTGAGATACTGGTACCAGCTCCTTCAATTTTGCTTGATTTGGTAGGACCTAGAGAGTCCTTACTAAGGTCTTCCTGGTTACCAGCAAGGCAGCACAGATCCAAATGAAGATTTTCAACTTGGCCATCAAGCTCAGTCACACAGTTACAACTCTTCACACACTTTTGTTTCACACTCTCCAGACAGCTTGAGTCTAGCCTCCTCTTTACTCTATTTCTAGACTCAGAGCAAGCCTCTGCTTGGGATGACTTCTGGCTCACAGGAATAAGGGCTTTTCTCGGAGACATGATCTTGGTCTCCGAAGCAGGTGGAGTGATGGGTGGTGATGAGGAAGGTGTTCGGGTCACCCAGTTTCTAATCGACATCTTGAAAGATGAAGGTGGCTTGGGAGAGACGGAGGAGACAGAGCCTCTTCTGTTGATGGGAGACCGGGCCTTGGCAGGAGAGGTTTTAATAGAGAACGTAGGAGTATTTGAAGGAAGAGGGAGGTCTCCAGCACAGCTTGGGGCACAAGCTGCGGATGACGGGGAAGAATTGGATGGATTGCACTTTGCCCTGGGGGCTTTGGCAGGAGTACTCTGGCTACTCGTTACTGTTACTGAAAAAGAGGAGAGGATCATGAAGATCAGAAGTGAAAGCCATACAAAGTCCCTAAATTCTCATCAAGAAAAATCATAGCTAACCTAATCATCTAAGGGTCAATTTGCCAGTAAGTAGGTATACATCACTTGATTCCAACCACACCCTTTTATCATTTTCCTTTCTCTTTTCCAAGTCACCAACCTCCCAACTATCCCATTATAAAATATATACTTGTAAAAATCGACAAAATACCGAAAAACATAAAGAGAAAAAATTTAAAGCACTTACGTAAACCATGTTTAGCATACTTTCTATATTTGTGCATGTGATACATACTATACATCTCAACTTTTTTCTTTACAAAAATGAGACTGATTTAAGGGGAAAGTGGCAGATAGGAGGCAGGACTAATTTGCCACTCAGACAGACAGAACAGCATGTGGAGACTCACATAGTGAACTTTGGCTCCAAGAACTATCACAGGAACATACCAGAAAAAACAAAAGAATTAACAGATCCTTTGAAAGAAGTGGCTTGCTGCTGCAAAATCCACAAGACAGCAGAAAAATTGAGTGCCCAAAGTGTGAGAGGGCTCCCGAAGCTGTGTGCTTGGTCGAAGAGGACAACCATTCCTGATAAGAGGAGAATCGGTCTTCAGTCAAGGGTATACGAGTAAATGTGCTCCCCTGCTAGAACCTCCAAACAAGCTCTCAAGGTCCAAAGTGTGAGAGGGTGGCTGGGTGTGGTGGCTCATGCCTGTAATCCCAGCACTATGGGAGGCCGAGGTGGGTGGATCACTTGAGGTCAGGAGTTCAACACTAGCCTGGCCAACATGGTGAAACCCTGTCTCTACTAAAAATACAAAAATTAGCCAGGCATGGTGGTGTGCACCTGTAGTCCCAGCTACTCAGGAGGCTGAGGCAGAAGAGTTGCTTGAACCTGGGAGGTGGAAGTTGCAGTGAGCCAAGATCGCATGCACTGCACTCCAGCCTGCCTGACAGCGAGACTCCGTTTCAAAACAAACAAACAAACAAACAAACAAACAAAAAACAGTGTGAGAGGGGTAAAGTCCACTTCTGCACACATCCTCACTGAGGATCCAGATCATGGGAGAAGGAGAACTGAAATGAATTTAGAGAGCCAAACAAAATATAAAAGTAGAAGCAGCAGCAGGAAGAGCCCTGTAGGCACTCCTGGTCCCCAGGGAAACCATTTCTGACTATCTCACAGGGGTCTTTGGAGAGGGCAGCCAATGGAATTGGGGAAGGACCATAGGGAGAAGGAGACTTTCAGCTGAACTTTGTAATGATTTCAACTGAGCGTGAATTTTCCTGGGCAGAATCTGCAGGGGGATGGGACAAATAGGAAGTGCAGATATGAGCACAGAAGCTGTGGCAGGCAGATGGACAAGGCCTAACAGCCCTGCTTGCTTTCTCGGCGGGGAGTTTTGTAGTCTAGGGCAAGATCTCCACCCTGTGCACTGGAGGCATGGATATAAATTTGGTTCTGTTGGCTGTTGGGGAAGCACTGCAGGAGTGAGACTGGCCTTGCTGGCTGTGGTCTGTCACTGCCGGCTTTCCCCTATTTCCCTGGTGATGTGTATGAAGCAGCAGAGGCAGCCATAATCTCCCTTAGAACGTAACTCCATTGGCCTGTTAACCACCACTCCCATCGCCCAGAGGCCACAGCAAGCCCTGCCCAAGGAGTCTGAGCTCAGACACACTATCCCTGCCCCCACCAGATGGTCTTTCTCTAACCGCCCTGGTAGCCGTAAACAAAAGACAAAAACTCGTGGGGCCCTGCTCATTGCCTGAGAAGCCCGAAAACCTATCCAGGAAACCGTAAGGCAAGCTTATATCCCCCGCTATACTACTGCAGTTGATACTCTCTTGAAAGTGCCACCTCCTGGCTGGAGGCCAACCAATTCAAGCCATTACAGCAATTCAACAGAACAACCCTGCTCCAAGAAAGCAGAAAATAACAGCTAATTCTACTGCCTGTAACATCTTGGCCAACCAGAGAGGTCCTGAGTCTGTCCATGTAATAACTTCAGTGCTAGTATAACTAGCATTCAAGACAACCAGTACACTAAATAAAACTACAACCAAGTACTCTCACACAGTCCACTTCACTCCTTTCCTACCACCTCCATTAGAGCAGGTGCTAGTATCCATGGCATACAGACCTGAAGACAGATCACATCACAGGACTCTTAGCAGACACTCTCCAGTACCAGCCTAGAACCCAGTAGCTCTGCTGGGTGGCTCGACCCAGAAGAGCAATAACAATCACTGCAGTCCAGCTCTCAGAAAGCCCCACCCCTAGGGAAGGGGGAGAGCACCACACCAAGGGATCACTCTGTGGGACAAAAGAATTTAAACAGCACACATTGAGTCCCAGATCTTTCTTCTGACATAGTCCACCCAAACGAGAAGGAACCAGAAAAACAATTCAGGTAATATGACAAAACAAGGTTCTATAACCACCCCTAAAAGATTATACTAGCTTACCAGCAATGGATCCAAACCAATAATAAATCTTTGAATTGCCAGAAAAGAATTTAGAAGGTCAATTATTAAGCTACTCAAGGAAGCACCAGAGAAAGATGAAAACCAACTTAAATTTAAAAATAAAACAAAACAGGATGTAGACGAAAAAAATCTCCAGAGAAATAGATATCATAAATAAAAAACAATCATGACTTCTGGAAATGAAAGACACATTTAGAGAAATGCAAAATACACTGGAAAGTTTTAACAATAGAACCAAACAAGTAGAAGAAAGAATTTTGGAGCTCAAAGACAAGGCTCTTGAATTAACCCAATTCAACAAAGACAAAGGCAAAAGAATAAAAACTTCTCTGGCCTTGCTCGAGATCTAGACATCCAAATACAAGAAGCTCAAAGAACACCCAGGAAATTCATCACAAAAAGATCATCACCTAGACACACAGTCATCAGGCTATCTAAAGTCAAGATGAAGGAAAAAATCTTAAGAGCTGGGAGGCAAAAGCATCAGGTAACCTGTAAAGGAAAAACCTATCAGATTAACAGCAGATACTCTACAAGCTAGAGGGGATAAAGGTCTTATCTTTAGCCTTATTAAATAATTATTAGCTGACAAAATAATTATCAGCCAAGAATTTTGTATCCAGTGAAACTAAGCTTCATAAATGAAGAAAAGATGAAAGTCTTTTTCAAACGCTGAGAGAATTTGCCACTACCAAGCCAGCATAGTTTACAAAAACTGCTAAAAGGAGTTCTAAATCTTAGAGCAAAACCTTGAAATACACAAAAATAGAATCTCATCTCATAGTGGGGGACTTCAATACAGTAAGTCAACATAGAAACAATGGACTTATACCCTAGAACAAATGGACTTAACAGGTATTTACAGAACATTCTACCCAACAACTGCAGAATATACATTCTATTCATCAGAACATTCATGGAACATTCTCCAAGATAGAGACCATATGATAGGCCACAAAACAAGTCTCAATAAATTTAAGAAAATCAAAATTATATCAAGTACTCTCTCAGACCATAGTGGAATAAAATTGGAAGTCAACTCCAAAGGGAATTCTTAGAACCATGCAACATTAAATAATCCGCTCCTGAATGATCTTTGGGTCAATAATGAAATCAAAATCAAGCTGGAAATTAAAAAAATTCTTTGAACTGAATGAAAAAAGTGACACAACCTAACAAAACCTCTAAGATACAGCAAAAGCAGTGCTAAGAGGAAAGTTCACAGCATTAAGTGCCTACATCAAAAAGTCTGAAAGAGCACAAATTGACAATCTAAGGTCACACCTCAAGAACTAGAGAAATAAGAACAAACCAAACCCAAACCCAGGAGGAGGAAAGATATAACAAAGACCAGAGTAGAACTTAATAAAAATGAAACAACAACAACAAAATACAAAAGATAAATGAAACAAAAAGCTGGTTCTTTGAAAAGATAAACAAAATTGATAGCCCATTAGTGAGATTAACCAAGAAAAGAAGAGAGAAGATCCAAATAAGTTCAATTAGAAATGAAACAGGAAATATTAACAACGAATACCACAGAAATACAAAAGATCATTCAAGGCTACTATGAACACATTTGTGCTCACAAACTAGAAAACCTAGAGGAGATGGATAAATTCCTGGAAATATACAACCTCCTAGATTAAACCAGGAAGAAATAAGAACTCTGAACAGACCAATAACAAGCACTTAGATTGAAATGGTAATAAAAAAATTGCCAAGAAGAAAAAGTCCAGGACCAGATGGATTCACTGCTGAATTCTATCAGACATTCAAAGAAGAACTGGTACCAATCTTACTGAAACCATTCCAAAAGAGAAAGAGGGAATACTCCCTAAATCATCCTATGAAGCCAGTATCACTCTAATACCAAAACCAGGAAAGGACATGACAAAAAAGAAAACTACAGACCAATATCCCTGATGAACATAGATGCAAAAATCCTCAACAAAATACTAGCTAACCAAATCCAACAGTATATCAAAAAGATAATCTACCATGATCAAATGGATTTCAAACCAGGGATGCAGGGAAAGTTTAATATACACAAGTCAATACATGTGATACACCATATAAACAGAATTAAAAACAAAAATCAGGCCGGGTGCGGTGGCTCATGCCTGTAATCCCAGCACTTTGGGAGGCCGAGGAGGGCAGATCACTTGAGGTCAGGAGTTTGAGACCAGCCTGGCCAACATGGTGAAACCCCATCTAAAAATACAAAAATTAGCCAGATGTGGTATCTCAGCTACTTGGGAGGCTGAGGCAGGAGAATCCCTTGAACCTGGGTGGTGGAGGTTGCAGTGAGCTGAGATGGTACCACTGCACCCCAGCCTGGGCAACAAGAGCGAAACTCTAAGAGAAAAACAAACGAAAACACATGATCACTTCAATAGAAGCAGAAAAAACGTCTGACAAAATCCAGCATCCCTTTATGATGAAAACACTCAGCAAAATCAGCATAGAAGGAACATACTTGAAGGTAATAAAAGCCATCCATGACAAACCCACAGCCAACGTTATACTGAACGGGGAAAAGTTGAAAGCATTCCCCATGAGAACTGGAAAAAGACAAGGATGCCCACTTTCACCACTTCTATTCAACATAGTAGTGGAAGCCCTAGCCAGCCACAGTCAGTCAGAAAAGAGAAATTAAAAGGCATCCAAATTGGTAAAGAGGAAGTCAACCTGTCACTGTTAGTAAATGATATGATTGTATACCTAGAAAACCCTAAAAACTCATCCAAAAAGCTCCTAGATCTGATAAATGAATTCTGTTAGGTTTCAGGATACAAAATCAATGTACATAAATCAGTAGTACTGCTATACAGCAACAGCAAACAAGCTGCAAATCAAATCAACAACTCAACCCCTTTTACAATAGCTGCAAAACCTAGGAATATACCTAACTAAGGAAGTAAAAGACCTCTACAAGGAAAACTACAAAACACTGCTAAAAGAAATCAGATGACACAAACAAATGGAAAAACACAACCTACGCTCAAGGATGGGTAGAATCAATGCTGTGAAAATAACTATACTGCTAAAAGCAATCTACAAATTCAATGCAATTCCCATCAAAATACCATCATCGTTCTTCACAGAACTAGAAAAAACAATCTGAAAAGTCATATGGAACCAAAAAACAGCCCACATAGCCAAAGCAAGACTAAGCAAAAAGAACAAATCTGCAGGCATCACATTACCTGACTTCAAACTACACTACAAGGCTATAGTCACTCAAATAGCACGGTACTCGTATAAAAATAGGCACATAGACCAATGCAATAGAACAGAGAACCCAGAAATAAAACTAAATACTTACAGACAAATAATCTTCAACAAAGCAAACAAAAACATGAGGTGGGGAAAGGACACCCTATTCAACACATGGTGCTGGGATAACTGGCAAGCCTCATGTAGGAGAATGAAACTGGATCCTCATCTCTCACCTTATACAAAAATCAACTCCAGATGGACCAAAGACTTACATCTAAGACCTGAAACCATAAAAACTCTAGAAGATAACATGGGAAAAACTCATCTAGACATGGCCTAGGCAAAGAGTTCATGACAAAGAACCCAAAAGCAAATGCAAGAAAAACAAAGATAAATAGATGGGACTTAATTAAACGAAAAAGCTTCTGCACAGCAAAAGAAATAATCAGCAAAGTAAACAAAGAACCCACAGAGTGGGAGAAAGTCTTCACAATCTATGCAACCAACAAAGGACTATTATCCAGAATCTACAAGGAACTCAAAAAAATTGATACGGGAGTGCTGGGAAGGGAAGAGCATGGTCCCTTTAAATGATACGGAATGGGGGAAGGGAAGTGTTGGGCAGAAGAAGGTGTGATCCCTGGCTAGGGCTCCATCCCCACAGACCTAGGTGAGGACAGGCATTTCCTGCCCAAATGTTGCATTTCCCAAGACCACCTTGGCCTGCCACGCCCCCATCCTGTGCCTATAAAAACCCCCAAGACCCTAGCAGGAACACATGGTGGCTGGATGTTGTGAGGAACACATGGGCAGAGAAAGACACAAGTGGCTGGTCGTCAAGCAGACGTTGAGAAGCACGCTGGCAGAAGAGCACACTGACAGGCATAGGCAGGCCGGCAGGCCAGCAGGGCATCAACCGGTGGAATGATGCAGTTTGGTCGGGGCAGTCGGAGGAGAACTGGGGCCGCCAAGGGCCCAACTCCAGGGGAAAGCCATTTCCCTTCTGGCTCCCCCATCCGCGGAAAGCTACTTCTGCTCAGTGGAACCTTGCACTCAAATTCTCCAAGCCCACATGTGATCCGAGTCTTCTGGTACACCAAGGCAAGAACCCCGGGATACAGAAAGCCCTCTGTCCTTGCGATAAGGCAGGGGTCTAATAGAGCTGGTTAACACAAGCCGCCTATAGACAGCAAAACTAAAAGAGCACACTGTAACACACGCCCACTGGGGCTTCAGGAGCTATAAACATTCACCCCCAGACACTGCTGTGGGGTCGGAGCCCTACAGCCTGCCCATCTGTATGCTCCCGTAGAGGTCTGAGCACCGGGGCATTGAAGAAGGAAGCCACACCCTCATCGCACGCCCTGCAAGGGGGACAAGGGAACTTTTCCAGTTTTAAAATCAGCAAGGAAAAAAAACCAAATAATCCCATCAAAAAGTGGGCTAAGGACATGAATAGACAATTCTCAAAAAAAAGATATACACAGGGCCATCAAACTTATGAAAAAATGCTCAACATCACTAATAATCAGGGAAATGTAAATAAAAACCACAATGCAATACCACCTTACTCCTGCAAGAATGGCCATCATTGGGGTGGATGTGGTGGAAAGGGAACACTTTTACACTGCTGGTGGGAATGTAAACTAGTACAACCACTATGGAAAACAGTACAGAGATTCTGTAAAGAACTAAAAGTAGATCTACCATTTGATCCAGCAATCCCACTACTGGGTATCTACCCAGAGGAAAAAAAGTTATTATATGAAAAAAACACTTGCCCATGCATGTTTATAGCAACATAATTTGCAACTGCAAAAATGTGGAACCAGCCCAAATGCCCTTCAATCAACAAGTGGATAAAGAAAACGTGGTGTATATATATACCAGGGAATACTACTTAGCCATAAAATGGAATTGAAATAATGGCATTTGCAGGAACCAGGATGGAGTTGGAGACCATTATCTTTTTTTTTTTTTAGACGGAGTCTCGCTCTGTCACCCAGGCTGGAGTGCAGTGGCACGATCTTGGCTTGCTACAACCTCAACCTCCATCTCCCAGGTTCAAGCAATTCTCCTGACTCAGCCTCCCAAGTAGCTGGGACTACAGGCATGCACCACCACACCTAAGTTTTGTATTTTTAGTAGAGGGGGGTTTTACTATGTTGGCCAGGCTGGTCTTGAATTCCTGACCTCAGGTGATCCACCTGCCTTGGCCTCCCAAAGTGCTAGGATTACAGGCATGAGCCACTGCGCCTGGCCTGGAGACCATTATTCTAAGTGAAGTAGCTCAAGAATGGAACCAAACATCGTATGTTCTCACTTATAAGTGGGAGCTAAGCTATGAGGACGCAAAGGCATAAGAATGATACAATGGACTTTGGGGACTCAAGGTGGGAGGGAGGTAAGGGATAAAAGACTACACATTGGTTACAGCGTACACCACTTGGGTGATGGGTGCACCAAATTTCAGAAATCACCACTAAAGTACCTATCCATGTAATCAAACATCACTGGTTCCCCCAAAACTATTGAAATTTTTTAAAAAAGGAGAGATCACTATATATATACTATTTCGTAATATTTTATCTCAAGCAAATTTATTTTTATTGTGTATATAGGCTATAATGTGATGTTTTGATACATGCATACATTGTAGAATGATTAAATCAAGCCAACTAACATCACTTCATATATTTTTGTGGTAAGAACATTTAAAATCTACTCAGCAATTTTCAAGTACATAGTACGTTATTCTACTCTCTGCTCCTATGAGTTCAACTTTTTAAGATTCCACAAGTGAGATCATGCAGTATTTGTCTTTCTCTGTCTGGCTTATTTCTCCTAGCATAATGTCTTTCAGGTTCATCCCTGTTGTTGCAAATGACATTAACTTTCTTCTTTTTCAAGGCTGAATAGTAGTCCATTGTGTATATACATCATATTGTCTTTATCTGATGAATACTTAGGTGATTCCATATCTTGGCTATCGTGAATAGTGCTGCAGTGAACATTGGAGTGCAGGTATCGCTTCCACATACTGCGATCACTTTTTTTGATATATACCCAAAAGTGAAATTGCTGGATCATATGGTAGTTCTATTTTCAATTTTTTGAGAAACTGCCATTCTGTTTTCCTTAATGGCTATACTAATTTACATTCCCACCAGTGTACAAGGGTTCCCTTTTCTCCACATCCTTACCAATACTTGTTACATTTTGTCTTTTTGATAAAAGCTATCCTAACAGGTGTGAGGGGATATCTCATTGTGGTTTTGATTTACATTTCCCTGATGATTGGTGATGCTGAGCAGTTTTTCATATACCTGTTGGGCATTTGTATGTCTTCTTTTGAGAAATGTCTATTCAGGCCCTTTGTCCATTTTAAAATTAGGAATAACCTGCTTCTTAATATATTGTGAACATTTCCCACATTAATACAGATTTATCATTTTTAATAGCTACAATGTATTCTAAGGTATAGGTATTCTACAACACATTTAACGCTGCCATTAGCATTCTTATATAAACTGTTGAGCAATGCTAGGGCAGAAAGGCACTGCACAGGGGCTCTCAAACAGGAATGCACAGATCTAAAACCTGGCACAATCACTTACTATGTGACTTGGGCATAACCCTTTATCTCTTTGGACTCAGATTCTATATCTGTTAAAGGAGATAGTTTTTCTTTTCACAAGAAGCCATTCAATCAATTATTTGTTAAGGTTATCAGGCCTCACATGGCTTCCCACTTTATTTTACAAATGACTACTATTTTCCACAAGGCAAAAAACATTCAGAATCTCAGTGCTTGCTCTCTGTAAATCAAATCAAACTTAGTAAATAGGACTTCTGTATGTGTACCTGTCCCTTTGTTTACATACAATGGCAAGTACTTCAGGCAAATTTTTATGAACTTCATGCTTCTTCCCTCTCGGGCCCTACCACAGACAACACTTTCTCAATTTCCTTCTGAGCTTTCTAGATTGCTGAAATAGCATTCCTGTCTTCAAATAACAAGGGTATTTATTTATTCTCAGTCACAAAGCCTTTGAATTGTTAACTATAATTTTTAATTCAGTTTAATTACCTAATTGCATTTATATCCAGCTGAATTTAGGATGGGCTGATATAAAAATGCAATCTCTCTTTTAGCATAAATAAAGATTGGCAAGTACTCACTTTAGTCAGTTAATTATCCTGTCCTTTTTTTACCCTGTGTTTTTCACTCCTAAAGCAGTCTTGCCTTGAGAGAGAGAAATTCTACAAATTGACTTTTGCCTAAACTTTTCTCATCAACCATATGTTTAGAACCAGCCAAAATGATACTGCTCTTTTAATAAGGATAATTACTGAAAAACCCCATTTTGTCATAAGATGCCATGAAAAGGACTTAGTAACAGGGACCTATTCATGAAACCTCTGGTTATGGTTCTCACACTAACGCTCTAGAGCTTGATAACAGCTATTTTTTTCAGCAGAAAAGGAAGTTTTCATTTGCTGCACTCCTCGGTGCAGGTTAATAGTCACTGCACAGCTGCCACAGTCATCTGTTCCATTTAAGTGGGTCAAAGTGTACATTTAGGGCAGAAAGTCCTAAAATTTTATGAGTCCTATAATATGCCGATTAACAAGGCAGGATTGGGGAAGAAGGAAGAGCTGGGACAGGGACAAACCAGGTATCTAGGTTTCTGAAACTTGCATGGCACACACTGGAGTATTTACTGATAAGGCTGGTATGAAATTGATGTGTTGGAAAGTTGGGGCATTTCCTCTTCCTTCAGGATGTCATGGTGAAAGAGGAAGTGGTCCATGGGGGTCAAAGAAATTTTGTTAGCTTTGAAGGTTAGCAAATGCTGGGTCAAATTTAAGTGTGTGTATATGTTTTTTAAACAGTAACTACATTATAACAGTATGAAAGTTAATGGTAAAAAAATTCAACCAGTACAGAGGGGAAGAGGGTGGAAACAGGATCCTCTTTTCAACTTTTTCATTTCACTTTTACATTCTTGTGCATTCCGCAATTTTCTCTGTGCCTATTTAGCACATACAAAGGTATATATGTATCAGACCTTAAAAAACCCCAAAATACAAATGGATTATACTATATATATATCTGTACATGTTCTGCCATTTGCTCTTTTATTTTTACGTCTCTTCATGTAAGTACACATAGATGCATTGCATTATTTTTAACAGGTGCATAGCATGCCATTATATGGGCCTACACATTTAAATATGGCATGCCATTTTCTTTAGTACTTCATCTACTTAAGTGGACTAACTCCTTATTGACCTTAAGCAATATATGAGATTTGATGACATGGTAGCATAGACTGAGTTATTGCCCTAAATGCTTCCTAAAGTCAGTTCCTTCGAAGAATTATACAGAGTCTACTAACAGTTTGCAGCTTCTTTCTTTGTTTTTTGAGACGGAGTCTTGTCTTGTCGCCCAGGCTGGAGTGCAGTGGCATGATCTCGGCTCACTGCAACCTTTGCCTCCTGGATTCAAACAATTCTCCTGCCTCAGCCTCCCGAGTAGCTGGGATTACAGGCGTGTGCCACCATGCCTAGCTAATTTTGTATTTTTAGTAGAGATGGGGTTTTGCCATGTTGGCAAGACTAGTCCCGAACTCCTGACCTCAGGTGATGCGCCTGCCTCGGCCTCCCAAAGTATTGGGATTACAGGCGTGAGCCACCGTGCCCAGCCAGCTTCTTTCTATATGAGTTTGCCATCTGGCCTCAGCCTGCCTTTTCAGTCTTATCATGTACTTTGCTATTCTAGGATCACGTTACAGGACACTACTAGTTGCTTCCTGAACAAGCTGTGTACTGTCACATTTCTTTGTTCATGTGGTTTTCTTGCCAAGTCAGCTCCTCCTTTGCCAGGCAGAAATTCTTCTCATGTTTCAAGGCTCTGATGACAATGTTAACTCCACTGTGAAGAATTCACAACTTCTTTCCTCTTCTCCCACAGAGCTCTCCTCTCACAGGGGAAGTAGGTTCTCAGAGCCCCTTGTTTACACAGCTAATGGCTGTGTGCTATAGTTTTTGAATCTGCCTCCTAGACTAGACTGTGAGCCTCGAGGGCAGCTAATAATGGTTTACTCATCTTTAGGCCCAGTGCCCCTATAGTGCGTAGTAAGGAATTATTAAACAATGTTTGTTAAGTTTCATTACTGCTGACAAGGATACAGGTGAGGTTCTAGGGATCAGAAAATTGACTCTATAATTATCCTGCTGACTTGTGAGACTGCAGCAAGCAACTGAGGCAGAATAGGTAGGGTTTCCTTCTCTTTAGGATAAGGATAATCAACTTTATCACTCAATAATGCCTAAACCAGAGGTTCTCAATCCTCGCTACATAACAGACCTCCTTGGAGCTTTGTAAAAATACAGGTCCAGTCCCATTGAATCAATCACTGGGGATACACGGACTTGAAAAGCTCCCCAAGTAGCTATGATGCATAGCCAAGATTGAGGACTATTGGTTTCAACAGTGCTATGAGATCTCTGGCTAAAACATAGGGAAAGAGTGGTAAGCAATGAAGCAGGTGCCGGCTGGGAAAGGTAGGGCAGGAGAAAAAGAGGCTATGTCTTAGCACTTAAACCCTTCCAATTAATGTGTTAACTGAGGGGGTTTACAAGCCAGGGCCAGAAGTGAAGATAAGCAGCCCAGGACAGCAATGAAAGGTTGGCGTGGCAATTAGAAGCTTGGGAAAGCAGGGGAACATGATTTTCAAGATGGCAATGTGATTAGAAGCAGCAAATCTGTGGCTGGAAGCTGGCTTAGAGAGTCGAATGGTCAGTGTGCCAGCCTTTGAAAACCCGTGTCAGGTTGTTGCTTCGTAGTGCTCTTCAGAGTAACCCTAGCATCACCCAGAAATGGAGTAATCTAGGCATAACTCTTACTCTGATCTTAACCTGAACTTTTGCCTTGCTCTGCTAGGTTCTTTTTTTTTTTTGAGACAGAGTTTTGATCTGTCGCTCAGGCTGGAGTGCAGTGGCGTGATCTCCACTCACTGCAAGCTCCGCCTCCCGGGTTCACGCCATTCTCCTGCCTCAGCCTCCCGAGTAGCTGGGACTACAGGCGTGTGCCACCATGCCCGGCTAATTTTTTTTGTATTTTTAGTAGAGACGGGGTTTCACCATGTTAGCCAGGATGGTCTCGATCTCCTGACCTCGTGATCCACCCACTCGGCCTCCCAAAGTGCTGGGATTACAGGCGTGAGCCACCGCACCCAGCCTGCTCTGTTAGGTTCTAAAGAAGGCAGTGCTGCAGAGTGGTTCTGAGCATGTGTTCTAGAATCAGACTGCAAGGGTTCAATTATAGACTCTGGTTCTACAACTTCATAGCTATGAGATTTTAAGCAAGTCTAACTTCCTTGACCTTCAGTTTCAGTTGTTTTCATAATTAAATGAGATAATCCAAGTAGGTCCTTAGAATAATTATGCTAGGAGTCAATAGTGGCTAAACGTTGTTATTATTACAACTCACATTTGGTCAATATGTAACTTTTTTGGTGACTTGGCTTCTAATACTAAGGATAATTAATGGCACACTAAAAGTACATAGTTAAAAGCAAGATACTTTTCATCACAAATTTTAAGAAATGGTATAGTCATTAACACAAGAATTCCACCTTTGGGAATCTTATTTTAATGGGAAGGGGGACCCTAAATTCAGGGAGGAAAAAACCCCAAGTTTTAAAATATTTGAAACAAATGTTTAAACTACAGTAGAATAGCTAGGTAAATTATGGAACATTTACTCAAGTGTAGTATTTGAAATAGTGTTGCAAAAAAGATAACATAGAAAGTACTTAAGGCTGGGTGCAGTGGCTCATGCCTGTAATCCCAGCACTTTGGGAGACTGAGGTGGGTGGATTGCTTGAGCTCATAGTTGAGCCCAGCCTGGGCAACATGGCGAAACCCCATCTCTACAAAAAATACAAAAATTATCCAGGCGTGGTGGTGCATGCCTGTAGTCCCAGCTATTGGGAGGCTGAAGTGGTAGGATGGCTTGAGAGAAATCAAATGCGTATTCAGTACAACTATGGTTCTGTTAAAAAGAATCTCTATGTATAAGGGAAAAACCTCAAAAAATAACTGGAAATGTCATTTAAAATTATGTCAAAGTGGAGGGAATACTGATGACTTTTTTTTAAAATCAGTATTCTCTAATGGCCTCATATGATTCTTTTCTTTTATATTTTCTAAAATGAGAGAGAGAAAAGTACATATAACGACAGGCAATAGAAAGACATCCAAGTTCATGGACCAGAAGATTTAACATTATTACGATGTCAATACTTCCATAACTGATCTACACAGTCACTGCAATTCCTATCAAAATCCTAGCTGGCTATTTTGCAAACAATGACAAGCTGAAACTAAAATTTGTATAAAAGAGACCCAGAACAGTCGAGACAATCTTGAAATAAAAGAAGAAAACAGAAGTAGGATTTCAAAACCTACTACAAAGCTACAGTAATGAAGACAATGCAGAACCATAATAAGGACAGATACATAGATCAATGGAATTGAGAAGTCAGAAATAAACCCTCACATTTATGGTCAATTGATTTTTGGCAGATTTTTACCAAGGGTGCCATGACGATTCAATGGGCTAAAGAATAGTCTCTTTAACAAGTGATGGTGAGAAAGTTAAATATCCATATGTAAAAAATTTGAATGCCTAACTCACACCATAACACAAAAATAAACTCAAAACGAATCACAGGCCTAAACTAAAAAACTAGAAGAAAGCATTGGAGTAAATCCTTGTTACCTCAGAAGAGGCAATAGTTTCTTTGATTTAACATCAAAAGCATAAGTGACAAAGGAAAAAACAGATAAACTGAACTTCATCAAAATTATAAAGTTACATGTGTCAAGAGACACCATCAAGAAAGTAAAAACACAACCCACAGAATAAATCATTGCAAATCATTACATGATAAGGGACTTATGTCCAGAATATATAAAGAATGCTTACAACTCAACAATAAAAAGACAAATAACCCAATTAGAATATGGGCAGAAGATCTGCATAGACATTTCACCAAGGAAAATATATAAATGGCCAATAAGCACATGAAAAGATGTTCAGCATCACTGGCCATCAGGAAAATATAAATCAAAACCACAATGGGACACTAATTCACACCTGCTAGGATGGGTATAATGAAAAAGATGGACAATAACAAATGTTGACAAGAACATAAGAGAAATTGGAACCCTCATTTTAGGTGTTGAAGATATTCTAGAATTAGATTGTATTAATGACTACATAACTCTAAATATAGTTGACTCTCTATATCTTGAGTTCTGTATACTGGGTTCCACAGCCATGCATTCAGTTGACTACAAATTGAAAATATTAAAACAAAAACACGAAAAAAGATGGTTGTGTCTGTACTAAACATGTGCAGACTTTTCTTTCCTGTCATTATTCCCTAAATGATATAGTACAACAACTATTAATATACCATTTATACTGTACCAGGTATTTTAAGTAATCTAGAGATGATAAAAGTATATGGGAAAATGTACATAGGTTATAGGCAAATACTACATCATAGATAATGAATCTGAGCTTCTGTGGACTTTGGTATCTGTTGGGGGTTCCTGGATCCAATCCCCCATGGATCCTGAGGGACAACTGCATACTAAAAGGAACTGAGCTGTATCTTGATTTAACCAAAATCATGACCCTGTGTTAGGAGGATGAGGAGTATGAAGGTTTGATAGTGGTGGGACACAGGAAAGGGAGTTAAATCCTCATGTTACAAAGGAAAGAAGTTAATAAAGCTGAAAATTGCAAAAAATAAATAGAAATGCACAAAACTATTTAGAGGTCTAGACATACATATCAAAGAATCAGCAAAAGGATTTGAAAGAGGTTGCCTCTGGGAAAGGGAAACTATGAGGCAGAGGGTCTGTGGACTGCTATTTATCTTATTCACTGTTGTAGAACTAGCTGACTTATTAAACTGTAATACTAAATTAATGAAAAAAAATTTTTAGGGCTGGGCACGGTGGCTCACGCCTGTAATCCCAGCACTTTGGGAGGCTGAGGCGGGTGGATCACCTGAGGTCAGGAGTTCGAGACCAGCCTGACCAACATGGTGAAACCCCATCTCTACTAAAAATACAAAAATTAGCTGGGCATGGTGGCACACGCCTGTAATTCCAGCTACTCAGGAGGCTGAGGCAGGAGAATTGCTTGAATAAGTGAGCTGAGATCATGCCACTGCACTCCAGGCTCAGCGACAAGAGTGAGACTTTGTCTCAAAAAAAAAAAAAGAAAAGAAAAAAAGAAATTAAAAAAAGCAAAGAGCAAAAACAAATAAGGCAGCACCATCAAAGACTACAGAAACCAGACTTAGAGCAAAAGACTCCTCTGAAGTCTAGTTCTGCATCTTATAAGCAACTAAATAAGTCCTTAGAAAAATGAACCTGTATATTTTCCCTTTCTCACCTTCAATTCCCCATTAACCTTAGGCCTTGATGGCTGAAGTAAAATGAATCTTTAAGCTTAAAACTCAAGCTTAAAGATAAGACAGTTTGAAACAGTCACTGAGAGAATATAAGAGTAAATGGACAGGGAAATATGATTGTTGGCCAGTAAGAGTCAACTTGAGGCTAGCAGTAATTAATTGAAAGTGAGCATTCCACAAGGTTGTGTGTTTACCATGTAAGTACAAGTATACAGCACATCTAATGATACCCTGAGGATCCACACTGTGGGTGGCTCATTGCTTGAAGATTTTTGCTCTTGGTTCATTGTTACTCTCTTCAACATTATCTGTCAATTTATGGTGATTAAAAAATCTATGTACATGATCTTTCCAATACCTTGGTTTCTCAGTTTTTTGACCTCCTTCTTCTATAATCTTGTCCTTTCACTCTCCTAAGCCACTTATTCTTTACCTTATTATTACCAATACCTGGAAATCTTCCATTATCTTAATTTCAATCATCCCACTCATCACCACTTATTTTCCCATCTCCCTTTAGTATTTCAATTCCAACAATCTTTTATCCTCAATCCACTGCTAGTACCACATTTACACTATCCCTTGGCCCCATTATGTCCTTACTTCCCTCCTGATATGGTTTGGCTGTGTCCCCACCTGAATCTCATCTTGAATTCCCATGTGTTGTGGGAGGGACCTGGTGGGAGGTAATTGAATAATGGGGGCAGGTCTTTCCCATGCTGTTCTCGTGACAGCAAATAAGTCTCATGAGATCTGACAATATTATAAGGGGGAGTTTCTCTGCCCAATCTCTCTCTTTGCCTGCCGCCATCCATGTAAAATGTGACTTGCTCCTCCTTGCCTTCTGCCATGATTGTGAGGCCTTTCCAGTCATGTGGAACTGTAAGTCATTAAACCTCTTTCTTTTGTAAATTGCCAAGTCTTGTACATGTCTTTATCAGCAGTGTGAAAATGGACTAATATGCCTCCTTACCAAGGTTATATCTTATAGTCATAATCATCCTCTTTGCATCCACTGTCAACTTCCTTCTTCACTTGCATTGCTAAACCACATCCCTGGTTAAATCTAGCTCTCTACCTATAGTATACTTGTACTTGCATAGCAAACACACAACCATGTGGAGTGCTCACTTTCAATTAATTATTGCTAGCCTCAAGTTGACTCTTGAAGCCCAACAATCATATTTTCCTGTCCATTTATTCCTCTATTCTCTCAGTGACAATTTCAGACTTTCTTATCTCTTCTAAAATCTCTACTCCCTTTCTCCCTTATCCTCATTCGCAGTTAATAACCCTGATTCATGTTTTAACATCAGAACAGAAGGAAGCTTCTGTAAGTTATGGCCATCTCATCTCTCCACCTCTCTCCCCACCATCTCTCAGTAGCCTACCTGCACCATGCTTATATATTCCACCTTTTCTCCAATTACTATGGGTCAACTATCCATGTTCCTGGCAAAGGCCTACCCTCCTACTGTGTATCAGATAGTATCCCCTCATGCTTAACATTGCTCCAGCAAATTCCCCTGCATCAATCTCCCCCTCTCTATACGATCCTGCCAATCACTGTGAAATGTTATATTCCTATTTAAAAAAACCCCAGCAAACTTCAACCCTGCTTCTTTCTCCAGCTACCACTTCACTTCTCTTCTTTCCTTTATAACAAAACTCCTTGAAAGAACTGTCTATACTTGTAGTCCCCAAGTCATATACATGAATGACACCAATCAGGCCACCATCATACCACCAAAACAACACTCATTAAGGTCACCAAATAACCCCTATGATTGCCTAATCCATTGGTCAGTTTTTAGGCCTCACCTTATTTGGTATACCAGAAACATCAAATCAAGTTCATCCCTCTCTCCTCTTATTTACTTGGCTTCCAGGATGTAACACTCTCCCAGTTTTTCTCTTACTTCTCTGGTTGTGGCTGCTCAGTAGGCTTTAATGGTATTTGTCACCTCCTCAACCTCTAAACATCGGGGTACCCCAAGACACCAGGCCTATTTTTTTCTATCTATAGCTATCTTCACCCTGTGTGATAATGAACCTCACATCTGCAACTTCAACCCTGAACTGCAGAATTAAACATCGAAATGCCTCCCTGACATGTCCATTTGGGTGTTTAATAATCATATCAAACAACATGTCCAAATGGAACTCCAGCTGTTCCCTCCCAAACTTGCTCTTCCTGCAGGGATATTTATCTAGGTTAATGACACTCCATCTTTTCAGCTTCTTAAGCAAAATCTCTGAAGTTATCCTTGATAACTCTCCCATATAGCCCCACATCTGATCCCTCAACATATTCTGTTGGCTCTGTCTTGTAAATATATCCAAAATTGGATGACTTCTCACCATAGCTTCTGCTACTACTCTGGTCTAAGTCACCATCATCACTTCCTGGATTATCTCAATGGCTTTTTAAAAGTAGCTTTTTGCTTTTACCCTGACCCCCTTACAATTTATCCTCAACACAGGAGCAAGAATGATCAAGTTAAAAGTCAAATTATGATACTCTTCTGCTCCAAACCCTCTGGTGGACTTTTGTCTATCAAAATAAAAGCCAAAGTCTCACAGAATTTCATTTTCTACTACTATTCCCTCCCTTTCCTTTGCCTGCTGCAGCCCTAGGGGCCAGCCATGCTAGCCTCTCTGAGGAAGAGAAAATATGCCAAGCATGCTCCTGCTTTAGGGCCTGTGTACTTTTATCTGCCTGGAATATTCTTCTTTAAAATATCTATATGGCTTACTACTTCACTTTCTTTACTCAAATGCCATCTTTTCATTGAGGCCCCCCTGGTCACCTAATATAAAATTTTGATAGCATATTTCACCCTTGCCCTTCTCCCTTTCCTATTTCCTTTATTCCTAAGCCCTTATTGTTATTTGACACAGTATATATTTTACTTTTTTATCTTGTTTATTGCCTCTCACACTAATATGTTAGCTCTATTTACATCTTCAGGATTTTTTATTCTTTTGTTCATTGCTGAATCCCTAGCAACTAAGAACAGGGCCCAGCACATACTGGGTGTTCAAGAAATATTTGTTGAATAAATCCACCACTGTAGTACCTTGTGTAAATGATAAACATAGTAGTGCTTGGGAAATACTTATCAAAAAGAATGAATGGCAAGAAGATAGTGCTTTTCTTTAAAAACATACCAAAGCAAGATCAAATCTAGCTTATTACTCTGTACTGTCGGACTAAACTAGTCAAACCATAAAAAACTTGGAAAGTATATGATATCCTTACCTAGGCCAGGTCTTGACTCTTTTTTCTTCTGAGAGGCCCAACCCACCGTGGAAAGTTTATCACCTCCTGGTTTCTCCTCTAAGCCTCTATTCAAGCGCCAGATTTTTAGTGTATTGTCATCAGAACAGGTAGCAATCTAAGAGGGAGTACCAAGAAGGGAATTAAGAAATTTCAATCAAGATTCAAAATACATTAAAAAACAGGTGTGTCTTAAGGCCTTGTGACTGGATAATTATTTTGTCTAATAAACAGGATATAGAAAATAATATCTTAAAGATCATGTACATCCATTTCTTGCTTTCAGGAATCATTCCAGATTTCCAACAAAGCTGACTCTTTAGTTTATTCTTCATATACATTCTACTAGTATGTCTTTTGTTACTGGTCATTTCTTATCTAATCTAAAGTTCTGGCTCTTTATCATCTTCTGTATAAATACAAAATATGTAGTTAAGACACTCTTTTTACTCTTCTGTTAAATGATCAATCAGTATATGTTACCAACATTCAATTTCTACAACTTTCTTCTGAATTCTGCATGTTGTGCCACATTGCTAAAGTAATGGCACCATTTGCAAGATCAGACTTGGCCCATGACTCTAGTAGGCTGTGACAAGTAGAAGGAAACCATTCCTTTTGAGATTCTTTTTCAGATAGGTAGAGGAGCAATCTGGGAAAACAACAAGTTCCCTAGGCTGAAAGAAGTTAAAAAATAACCTTTGTCCCTTTAAAAATATCTGACTATTCTAGATCTTGGTCCCAAGCCTTTTATGGCAGAGAAAGTCCAGCTTGAAGAGCTTGTGGCAAATGGCCACTGGTACCAGAGCTGTTCCCCAGCATTTGTTTATATAATTTCTCTATTTCAGTCACTAAAGAGAAAGAAAAAAAGAATACATGTTCTCTTAAGTCTTGGCCCCCAAGAGACTGGCAGCTTTTTCCTTTCCTTACTGGGAGGCCAAAAGAAGATACACATATTTAACTGTTCAATATGAAATGTTTGGAATCTCACAGTTCTTCTATAGTTTATTAACAATAGTTATTTGCAGAGCACCTACTATGTGTCTGGTAGTTTACATTCTTTATCTTATTTAATTCTCACACTCTAAAAGCTTTGTACTCAAATAATCTCATATGCAAAATGGGAATAAAGTTATTTGCCCAAAGTAACCACAATCAAATGGAAGAGCTAGAATTTAAACCCAGCTTTCTCCTATTCCAAATGCCAGACATTAAAAACACAAAAACAACACAAACCATATTTTACTTTCCTAATTCTAGGCTTGGGATGAAATTATTTTTAAGACTTAAAAAAGTAGCCAATAAATTAGTATAGGTAAACAGCCCTGCTATTTCCTTTGAGCACAGGAAATAAGGATAATTAATATATGATGTTTGAGATGCATAGGGGTAAGGATAATATATGACAATTGAAAAAAAGATAACATAATTAACTGAATAATTCAAAAATCATTCAACTTAGTAAGTCCCATGAAGATGCAACCCTCCATGTTAAAAGAAATTACATGGAATCTCAGAGGAAAAAATATCATTAATATGTAATTTTGGGTGATTAAAGTAATGACTTAAAAAAAAAGAAAAGGTCTGCCATGAAGTTGAGCACAGAAATGGTAACAATAAGGAGAAATCCACAGCAATACTGGAAGCTAGCAGGGATGCCACAAATAGACCAGACCATGAGAAGTTTCTGGAAGATAAAAAACAGATGGGAACAATAGGCAACAAAACCTCAAAACGTCATACGTGAAAGGGGAGACCTCCACAGAAATAAGATTTCCTGTAGAACCCAGAATAACTCAAAGACCAGAGGCAATGGGGTTTGGGAGAATGACTGGAACTTGAGCTACTATTATATGCAATTCCAATAGATACATAGTTTTTAATGTTTCTGGCCTTTCTACATTTTAGGGTTTTTTTGTTTCTTAAAGTGTCACTATAAAAAAATTAAAAGGTGGGCATATTGTCTTCTTTCTGGAGTATCTAAAACATTTCAGACCTACTTACATAGTTTAAGCAATAGATAACCTAACATGTTAAGACTTCACAGTTACCATTTTGTTAGCCATATGTGAAAACCCAAATTGGGCTGTCAAGATGTTACCTTTAATATACTACATTGATAATATCTAAAAAGTAAAAAAGACTAGTTCTCACCTTAGATTGTATTTTTATCTTAGATTTTAATAGAAAATTTTAATTAAGTTAACAACTTAATCCTACATTTAGGAAAGAAATAACTGTAGGGAACCAGAAATCTATCCTTATTTCACAGGGCATAATACCATTATGGTATGGGTAGAGAAAAGCAGAATATGCCTGAGTAATGTGAATATAGATCCTGGATGGCCTTTAGGTCTTTAAAATCTCAACTTAAACATAAAAATTTATATCATTCTCAAAACAAACCTTAGAAAAACCTACAAACCTGTGATCTACATTTTAAACCAACTATAGAGATTCATTTACAAACCTTTGTGAAGTCAGATGGACACCAGCACACAGACGTGACCTCTTGAGAATGACCCAGGAGCACAGTAGGAGGTTGCCAGGGTGTGGAGACCTAGTCCAATCAAAAACAAACAAGTCAGCAAAGCAATATTAGATTTCCCAGATAGAGGCCTTTGAATTCAGAAGTGTGTCTTAGAGAGCTTTAGGATTGTTACCAAAGGCCACTAGACCTGCCTAGCTATAGTTAGGAAAAAAAAAACAACAGATTTCCAATGGGCAATGAAATATTTCTGTTACTAATCTGAGAAAACACAATGAAAACAGTCAAAATAAGTAAATAACATGAGCTTACACACAAGGATAGTCCTTATTTCATATCAGGACAACCTAGCCATATATATTTTGACTAAAATTCAAGACTGGCATTGTCCCTTATTCCTTAGGTGGTAAACTTTCTGGAAGGATGTTATCCATCCTTAAGTAGTCAACTCGACAACTCAGTCCTGTTTTTACACAGCATATATATCTTCAGATCCCTAGTCAGCTACTTCTAGGAACACTAAATTAACTGTGAAACCTGAAGATTTCTGAAACATGCTACCAGCTCTCTTCGGACAAGATGATGGTCTTCCTTCCAAAAGAAGACCGTCCTCTTGTCCCAACAGAGCTGGTCACTAACTTTTACAAAACCCAAAGTTATACTCCTTCATTTTGAGTTGGATAACCTTCATTCTGAAGGGGTATAAACTATATTTTACATGGCACTTTGGTATCCTTTCTGAAAAACATTTTTTTCCTCTAAAACTATATTTCAGTTAATTTTCTGAGAGAAGTTTTGAATTTTCAAGTAAGTGTCACTCGCATTTTAATATATTTTAATGCAGAAAGAAGGGTCACATTGTACTGTCCTGTACATGTGACTAAGAATCATATTTTTCCATCATCAGATGCCACCAGTTATGTACATTTGACAGCATCATACAGCTGACTCATTCAAGAGATGTCAATCTCTTTCATAGGCCATGGGAATTAATCAGCACAATAACGAGTACAAACACACATAACTATTATTAGCATGTGTGTTTCAAAAGAGCAAGGAGGTTGGGGCTGAGAGAAGTTATTCTCTTTTCATTTTCCTGAGGCTCTGAATCATGGCTCATTTGTATGAAGAAAGTGGAGGTGACTCTGGAATGATTATTTGTGAGAATGACTAAGTAAACTTAATAGATTCCCCCAGATTATGGTTAAGAGATCTGACACACTGACTGATAAGGTTATTCAACTCAATCATTAATACTCCTCTCTTGGCTTAAATGGTACATATGCAATAATTAAAAAAGCAAAAGAAGACAAAGAGCAGAGTCTAACTTGTCTTGCAGAGTTAATTAAAATTTATCAGAAAGGAAGCTTTTTCCACATCTACAGGAATCTCACTTACTGCCTACTCCTACAATGGCACAGAGATAATTCATTCTTTCACAATGTAACATATTTTAGAAAAGACTTTGAAGATCGTCTCTAACTATCCCAGTAGTCACAGAAATTTTCCTTTCCTCCTCTGTTTGGGATGGCCCCAGTCGATTAAGTTTCTCTTCACCCAAGGTCCAAACAGGTCTGGTAGCAGCAAATTAGAAGGGAGAGGAAATCCTCAAGTCCTACTGAGCATCCCTGGTAGAAATACATTATTGTCTTCCATTGATTCACCCTGCTTATTGCCTATAGCTTTTTAATTTCATGATATTGGTCCTTTCTCAGTTTCTGTATTATAATACCTAGGAGAACCTAAATGTGTACACCAAGGGTTAAAATAAGTTTCAAAAAACCCCCTAAATACCCACCAATAGAATATATGCACATTTTTGCATTTATCTATAGGGTTTCAGAGAAAAAAGAAAGAGACCCATTAGAAAAACATTTTGGAATACGTTAACAAGGTATCAATGACGACAGTAAAAGTCTAAGCCAGGCACTTTACATAGCATTAAAAGTGGGGGGAAGTTTCCTCAGAAAGTTAAACAATTATATGACCCAGCAATTCTATTCTTAGGAATCGAATTCTGTTCCTACACTCCCAGGAGAATTAAAAACCTATGTTAAACAAGAACTTATACACAAATGTTCACAGCAGCTTTATTCATGTCAAAAAATGGAAACAGCTCAAATGTCCATCAACTGATGAATGAATAAACAAAATGTGGTCTATCCACACAATGGCATATTATTCAGTCATAAAAAGGAGTAAGTACTGACACATGCTATAACATGGATGAACCTCGATATTATGCTAAGTAAAAGACGTCACACACAAAATGCTGATTTTGTATGATTCCATTTATATGAAATGTCTAGAATAGCAAATCCATAGAGACTGAATGTAGTTTAGCAGGTGTTGGGGAGGAAGAGGGGATTAGAGAGTGACTGTTAAAGGACACGGGTTTTTTTCTGGTGTGATGATGTTTGGGAATTAGATAGTGGTGATGTTGGTACAACACTGTGATTACAATAGTAACTACTCCATTGTAAACTTTAAAATGACTAAAATGGTGAATTATATGTTATATGAATTCTATCTGAATAAGGAAAAATGGGAGGAAGGGCGTGTTATGGGTTAAAATGAGAAACTAATGTCTAACACGTTTTTATGAACTTTTATGCTTTGATAGTTTAGGACTATCCTAGGGTATAGTATGACTACTTCAAGAAAGATTCATTCCTTCTAATGAGATTCAGGTGGCTTTTAAATCCTTCATTTTTATTCAAATAAATTTTTATTTATTGTCCCTACATTATTATAAGAACACTATCATAATTACGTAACTTCATTTTTTAAAGCTTCCTTTCCCTTTTAAGTAGGAAGGCGACTATTAAGTCTAAGAGACATTTATATCCATGCATTTTGGAGATGCTCAGACACAGAAGACTGTCCTCTCTTACATATTCTACTTTTTGTAAAATAAAGACTTTAATTCAAGGCACAAGGAATCCCAAAGTTAAATCTCCTAGAACTAAGAAGGTACCTCTAGAAGTAAGTGGCTCTAACTTACAGATGTCATAAAGTTATTTTGTGTACTGAAACATACAAAGAATATCAGCACTTTTCCTCACAAAATCTCTTCTCTGCCCAGTTGGAAACCAAGTCTAATCTTTATTTCTGCCATGAGATCATTTACACTTCCTAAAGTGTCAGGCTCAACGTTTCACCAGTCAGTGGTAGAATGACTATGCCAAATCAGTTTATTTATAACCACTTCGATGCTATTCAGTGGCTATATCAGAAACAAACCAGAGAAAAGAGGATGGGGTGGGGGTGAGACAATAGTTAGGAAATTAAAAAGAAAAGGTATAATATTAAATCTTTTTAAGTCTTGGGCCTCAATATCAGCCCGAATATATTATATTTCCTCTTTGCTGGGCAGTAGTGAGGATTAAGAGGCCATTCTCTTCTGTCTTAAGATACAAAACTCCCTTCTATTTTGTTTTCTTGTGCCCATGGGCTTTTGGCTTTTTAGCATAGAAAAAATTCTAATACTTAAGAGAATTCTGACTTTTTGAACACGTAGAAGAGCAATCTAACAGCCTGGATACTCAGCTTGAATGGAATTGCTCTTAAAATACCACTCCTCCTTTTTTTAATCATGGAAAAGAGAAACTGAGCCACCTCACTAGGCAAATTCAAATTTAGGAGGTGCAAGCTTGCCAGGATCTCAAATATCAGAGCCTGTACACCGAGTTATGTGTGGACAGGCAGAAGAACATCACGTCTGAACCACGTCATTCAACACTGACATGTGACCCAGCCTAGGAATTAAAAAAGGGTAACCCTTGTATGTGGTAGACACTGATTGGTTGTCTGAAAATGGCTTAGAAACAATGGCCAACTATATTTAGTGTATATCTTTAAAGGCAAGTATTCCCACAACCTTCATTCCCTGAAACAAAATCTTAAAAAGGCCTTTGCACTAGAGAAGAGGAAGGAACTTTAACAATTGTCAAGAAAACTTTACACAAGATACACATAATATATAATTATACACATAATTATGTATATATATAATTTAAAAATTTATTAAGAATTTAAAAACTATCAAGAAACTATACAACACACATGTAATTGTATACATAATTATGTACATATAATTAAAACTTAATAATTTAACAAGAATGATCAATACATAAGTATTTTTTGAATTATTCTTATATGCTTTTTGTGATGTTGGAAAAAAAAATTTTTTTTTTAACAAGAAACAAACCTTAAAAGATACAGACCTGTGGTAGGAATAAAATCCTCTAGTTAAGTTGGGAGCCAAAGTGGAGAAGGAAACATAGGCAAGACAGTGAGCAAAGAAGAAAGGAAAAAGGTAGCAAAATAAGCATTAAGACCAAATTTGAAACTGAAAATTTTAAATATAAGACAGAGCATTAGTGCCAGCGACATAACATTGTTAAACTTAAAATCTCAAGTAAGAAGAATATTATAAAGAGGAAACTCCATCTTGTGATGGAGTCAAGTATATACTTTATAGGCATTTAAAAATATAACAAAAGAAAGAAATATGCTTGTAGAAAAAGGCAGGCCCAACATAGAAGCATCTTGGATAGAGCAATATTTCCACCCTGTGACTATTTAGGATATTGTTAGTAAAATTTTAATAAAGTAGTGTTGCATTTTCACAACTCCAGTTATATAGAAATCACTTTTCTTTTGTACTTCCCTCAGGATTGGAAGAAATTAAGCTGAAGAATTATGCTTCATACTAAACAGGTTTTACCCCTGTCCTAAAAAAAATTAGCAATATTACTTTCTAGAGCTTGGCAGGATAAAAAATGATATAACTTTCTCTTGAGAAGGGATTTGATACTATCGGAACTATGGGATCTATGAAGTTTTAGACATTATGACTTTAAAACCCAAAATATGTGAACTCTAATCATTCAATTCACCAATGTCAAAGACATTTATGAAGTTACAGGGAAATCTAGAAGATAATTAATTCTTAGTCATGGGTAAACAATGCCTTAATGATCATTCTCTGAATTCCCAGAACATTTCCATAATTAATTATTCCTTCAAGAGACATTTTTCAGTAATAAGCAAGTGCTACCTGTTGTCTAACATTTTTATTTTCTCCACTGGACTTCAAATGGACAGCTTTAAATTTCTTAGCTTACAGTAGACACTTTAGAACTACTGTTATTAAAAAAGTTATTTAAAAGATTATTGGCCAGGCATGGTGGCTCATGCCTGTAATCCCAGCACTTTGGGAGGCCAAGTTGGGCGGATCACGAGGTCAGGAGATCGAGACCATCCTGGCTAACATGGTGAAACCCCGTCTCTACTAAAAATACAAAAGAAATTAGCCGGGCGTGGTGGCAGGCACCTGTAGTCCCAGTTATTCGGGAGGCTGAGGCAGGAGAATGGCGTGAACCTGGGAGGCGGAGCTTGCAGTGAGCCAAGATCGTGCCACTGCACTCCAGCCTGTGCGACAGAGTGAGACTCCATCTCAATAAAAAAAAAAAAAAAAAAGATTAGTAAATAATGCTATTAAATATATAAAAATCTGATAAAGCAGCCATATCTACTTTAGTGGCCTGAAGATCAGCTACTTGTAAGGAGAGAATAAAGAATAAATTAATCATAAAAATATTTTTGAGTTTCTGTTTTGTGCAAGGCTCCATGGGTGATTCAAGCACAGGATCCTAGGGATCAAAATACTGTATTCTGAACGAGAGTTTGAAAACATAGGGCAGAAAGTCAGTATAGCATGTTTTCCAGGATGCAGGACAAAGTAGTTAAGGTTCTTATCACCCTCTGAATTCTCAATTTCCTAATAATTTTTGAAACAGAGGATACAAATTGTCAATTTCTGACAAGCTATGGCCCTGAAAGTGTCATACATTCTGTAGTAGAGTAAGGTTTCAGCTATATTAAGAGCCAAGAGCAACCTTTACTAAATATCTGATGCAGGAATAGTATAGCACGTGGTTACATTAAACTTATCTCATATTGGACAGAACAAATATTTGCAAGAATACTTCAGTCTAACACTTGTGGGTGAAGTTTAGCAACTTACCTTCCATATGTAGGCAGCTTCATCACTTGAGCCACTGACTAAAAACTGGTCATCTGGACTAAGGCTGGATTTTACATAAAAGGTAGAGTTCTGGTGTCCATTGAAAATAGCCACTGCCAGAGGAAAAAAACCAAATTACTTGGCTCTTGTTATTTCTAGTGGTCAAATGGATATAGACAGCATATATATTCTAACAAGTTTTATCACTGTATTGCCTATTGAAGCAGATGATCTAGCTTTATCCATCAAATACAAGGGAACTAGACATTGGCAGAAAAACAAAACCCTAGAAGGAAGCTTTATATTAGATCCAATCTCATGAACTCAGTCTGAGTACTTGGTACGAAAATGGCAATATCAAGAGAAAAAAATTGGAGGGAAAACATTCCTTAAAAAAAGAATCCAGCCAATGTCCAACTTGCAGTAAAATGCCTTTATAAGACCCTCTCTCTCCAGCCCAGGGTAGGATTTTTTCCACTGCATAATATATTCATCTAATTTCCCCTTAGACTTCAGGCCTCTTGAGGATAAATTTTATATCTTACTTTTTCCTCACTAGACTTTATAGTGCTTTGAACAGAGTAGATCCTCAAACATTTGTTCCATGAAAAGGAAAAAAAAAATCAGTGAAAAGTATCATTTGAGTTCTGGTTAAAACTTACTAATAGCTTATGTGGGATGTGAGAATCATTTTAATCCAGCACTTTGAGTAGACTGAATGGTGGAAGAGCTAGTGGAGTAAACTGTTTATATGTAAGGCACTAGATTAGGTTTAGCCTTCTCACTCTCAATGGCAAAAGGGCAGGTAACCCAATCTAGCATATGTTCTTAACAGGTTCTTCTATCCTAAGAAGGTCAAAACCTGAGGCCTCTGACATCAGAACACTACTAGGAAATACAAGAGAAAAATCTCAATTATTGGAGAATTTAAGGATACCTTTAGGCAGGAAAAAACAATCACACTCCAGAGAGAAAAGTATTAGTAGGGGACTTAACAGCTTCCCATAAGTGCTCACAGGAATCTCTTCCATTTTCTAGAATAAAGCTGGAAAAGAACTTTGTATTTATAGCTTTAAAGGAAAAAGCTATGCAGGCATAGCAAATACTCCTCACATCAGACATTTTTACTGTGAAAGTGAGGCAGGATATGAATCAATTTGTATACACCTATTATCACTGCAAAATAAACAAGCTCCTTTATTCTGAACATTGTTCTAAAACTGTAATTTTTAATCTTCCTCAACTCTCAACTATGAATGGAAAACTCTAGCCTGAATTTCCCACTACACCTGTAAGTATTTATTGCCCTCTGCTGGTCTAAGAAAGGCTGGTATGATATGCACTGTAAATGTTTAAACCTTGCTAAAAATCCTCCTAAAATGTATGTTGGCTTTAATGAGCTCAATTTAATCTTGCTTTGGTGATCTGGGCTTTTCAAGTACTTCCAACCAAGTCATCCTTATGAACATATAAACACCATAATACAAAGCATGGTAGATCAAGTATCGAATCCAAGATCGATTCAGAAGTTTTGAAAAGGACAAGTAATTACAAGACGTTACACACACACACACACACAGTTGTCATTCAGTTTTTTTTTTTTGAGACAGGGTCTTACTCTGTCACCCAGGCTGGAGTGCAGTGGCAAGATCATGGCTCACTGAAGACTCAAACCTCCCAGGCTCAAACAATCCTCCTACCTCAGCCTTCCAAGTAGCAGGACTACAGGTGCATGCCACCACATCCAGCTAATTTTTTGCATCTTTTTGTCAAGATGAGGTTTCACCATGTTGCCCAGGCTGGTCTCGAACTCCTGGGCTCAAGTGATCTGCCAGCCTCGGCTTGGGTTTATAGGTGTGAGCCACCATGGCCAGCTGTCATTCAATTTTTAAGGAATAAATCGATCTATTAACCTATCTACCTATCTATCCATCTGCGCAAATGAAATTAAATAGAAGCATAGAAAAGGTTTACTAAATTATTAGCGAAGTGTTGGACAGCAGGACACTAAACTCAAGGACCTTTTCAGTGCCACACTGTAGCAAAAATTATATAGAAAGAGCTCTTGTACATCTGATAATATAATCAGGATCACGCTTTATCTTTCAAGGAAAGATGTTGAAAAGTCTATTTTATTTGACTAACTAAATTAGCAGCTCTCCAAGCTCAGATTCCATTAAGGAAAATAGCAAAAGAAACACCTCTTCCCTTTTCTAAATACTATTGCTCCTGTTTAGAGAAAACTAGACCCAGTGCAAAGTATCAGAAATGCAGACTATGATGCTGCCACCGATACTAAAGTCCTAATAAGATTGCTTGGGGTGATCTTTGGAAAATTCTGTAAGATCTCAGCTAAAATGACAAGTTCTGGGCCGGGCATGGTGGCTCACGCCTGTAATCCCAGCACTTTGGGAGGCTGAGGTGGGTGGATCATGAGGTCAGGAGTTCGAGACCAGCCTGACCAACAAGGTGAAACCCTGCCTTTACTAAAAATACAAAAATTAGCCAGGCATGGTGGCGGGCGCCTGTAATCCCAGCTACTTGGGAGGCTGAGGCAGGAGAATTGCTTGAACCCAGGAGGCGGAGGGTGCAGTGAGCCGAGATCGAACCACTGCACTCCAGCCTGGGCAACAGAGTGAAACTCCGTCTCAAAAAAAAAAAAAAATTTATATCTATATCTACATCTATCTATAAATAAAATAAAACAAGTTCTGTACTTGAGATTTCTTGTTTATCAGCACTTTTTACTTTAGTGGAAACTGGGTAACTCTGAGGATTGGTTATGGAATTCAAAGTGTTTTTGAAAGATCTATAGATGAGGAATAACCAGGCTACTAAGATGTTGCTTAAGAAATTGATGTTCTTAAAAATAATGTAACCCAAATAACTCTCTTAAAGCATGCCTGAGGCTGGTGATTTGGAAGAGGGAGGGGAGAGGATTAAAAAAAAGAGGAAAGCATGCTTGAGAAACTTGGGTTTTCTTTTTAAAACTATCATTTATTTATTAGTTTTAAGTATCAGATTCTATTTTTAAAGTTTTGAGGAAAAAAAAAAGGTGAGGCTGGGGAAAACATCTAGAAATAAAAGGGCCTCTAACATTAAGGAGAAGGCTGAGATAGGCTGAAACTATTTTGGGGGTATGAAAATTTCAGCCCCCTAATTTTAACCAGCAGCCCCTAAAGAGGAAAAAAGCTGAGCAGAAGCACTTTATCTACTCCACAGCTTATTAAATAAAAAATTGAGAGAATTCTAAATATAGGCCAAAGGGCATAATTTCAGGAGATACTCTCTATTAAAATAAAGTCACCATGTAAAGCACAATTCAGCTAACTTATGAAATCATCACAAGGAATGTACACTTATGAAATTATCACTGGATGTAATCAAAGATGCCAAAGTCCTCATATGGCTTAATAAGTTCAGTTTAGAAGAAAGCCCATTAAATTATCATTACCAAAAAAAGCCCATAATGCTTTCCTGGTAAGAGAATTTGAATGACTAATATCTTACCTGGAGAAGTCTTCAACCCAGTCATATTAAACATGTAGATGTTATCGTCTGTGCAATTAGCAAATAAAGTAGAGCCAGTGGAATCCAAAATCAGACTTGAATATCCTGGAAAAAGGAAACTTAAGTTAGCACGTCCTGATGATGGTGAGTAGATCTGAGGTTAAAATGTAGAGACAAAAATAGATCATTTCATAAGAATCATCATCAGAATTCTTTGTCCCCAAAATATACACAAACCAAAAACATTCTTCTGAGTTTTTATCTTTTGAACTTCACATATTAGAATTTTTCATATCAATGTTACTGGAAATTAGCCTTTTTTTTTTTTTTTAAACAAAAACTCTTATCTCCCCCAAAAGACCTATTAAAGGCTTACCAAGTTTTCGAGTGCTGCTACCTGGGTACAGGAAAGACTTGGATGCTATGGGTTCTTGTCGATAAGCAGTATAATTCTTACGTAAATCCCATACTTTGATTATCCTAAAAACCAAGGCAAATAAATATTTTGTAGACCTTCTTCCAACCCCAAACAACTTCAACTACACTAAATGTGAAATGACTTTTAATCTAACTCCTCTGGCACATTAACTAGGTACAGTAAGGATATTTCATTGGGAAACAAATTAAAGTATCTTATACTGTTGTCTCCAATATCAGGCTTATAATTCTGACAGAACGGAAACAGATGTGATTTGACCCAGTGATGGGTTACTGGAGTTTACTCTAAGAGAACGGAAAAGGAAGATGAAGGTTGAGTGCCGATAGTAATTGTTCCATTGTTTTTAGAAAATACACTTCCTAAGCCTTTAATATTCTGCATATATTTTTGATATCATAAGTAGCAAGTTCTGTCCCTGTGGTTATATCTCCATACATAACTCTTTAAATAATCTAAACAAATTGTTCTGTGAAATAAAGTATTTTTTCATTTCATCTATTGAGATAATTGTCTTAATCCTCTACTTCTAGTATAAAGGTAACTTGAAAACACAGACCTGCTATGAAATGACAGTATTCTTGGAAACAAACAGAGCAAGCTTTCACAGTCATTCACAAGCAGAACTAATAACCTTTAGATAATCCTTCATTCCTGCCTGAGAATTTGGTTCAGAGGGTTTTAGTGCCCAGAGGACACAATGGAAATCCTAGTTTGGTAAGCCATCATCTTTTAAATTAAAAATTTTAAGAGAAGGATGCCTTGAGAGATATAATAGGAAGGAAACTTAAAAAGAAAGAGTCTCCATTTGCATAGAATTAATATTCTACAACACAATCAACAAGCATCACAGAGCAGACTTATTTGGAAGCCAAGAATTCAGACTAATCATGGATGACAGGTATGTGAAAGTCATTAGACCTTACTATCATCAATCTAGTTAGATTACTCCCAGAAATGTCAATTACATCCCCAGAATCAGATTTCTTCTTTTAGGATATTCTTAAACCTGAAAAAGACAAAACCCAAAGTAACAGAAATTTTACTCTTCAAAATGAGAATTAGTGACTAAATTATATTGCATAAGGCAAGCAAGCTACCCAGCCAGCTTCTTTTCTAAGATAGCAACAGCAGCTACCACTGCTCTTATGTGCTAGACAATGTGCTAAGCGTGACACATGTATTCTTTCATTTAATTATCCAGCAAGAGTCCTTCAACTAGGTATTTTCCAATGTGATCTATAGCTCCTTTCCTCAGTTGGGGTACTTGCTATGTTGACAGTTGAAAGCACACACATTCAATTATAATGAGACTATGTGACTGCCTCATCACAATCTCATAAAAAAGATCTCGTCGGAAGAAAAAAGAAATAGACTCTTACCCATCCACAGCTCCTGCTGAGACTAAGGTATTCTCGTCTTGAAAGAGGACCACAGTAACACTTTGCTGGAAATCCTGATAGCACAAGAAAAGAAGAAGATTCTATCTTGGGCATCATAATCTTTACCATCAAGGGAACAAGGTGCTAAAAAACGACTTTTCTCCCCAGACTGACTTAGATGAAGTCTTGTCTAATGATCTCGATCAGATATATATGCTGACCAAGAGGTAATTTTAGCAAGGATCATTAAGTTTTAGTATACAGTGTTAATATTTCAACTTATACTCAAAAAACAAACTGGTGACTAAAAGATTTTGCTCGTCTGAGCCTACTGCATCTACTTAGACTCAGCCCTACTAATATGCTGTGTGTATCCTTAGGAAACTTATTTAACTTTCTTGTGCCAGTTTAATCTCTAAAATGTTGCTGTCTACCTAGATTATCATATAGGAGTATCAAAAGAATTATGAATAAAAGATTATTTCATGCCCTGAAAAAGAGGCCCAGTGGAGTCGTACCTCCTAATTGCTATTACTTAACAAGTTATCTTGGCTCAGAACCAGATTAAATGTCTGAAATGCTACTCGTTTTAACTTCATATGGCCTCTACTATCTGCTTCCATTCATGCTTGTGTCCTGTTCACGGTGTATAGTTTTAAGTCTTAATGTCTTAGCAGTCATACTTCCCCCAAAATATTAACTTGTACCCTACACACCAGGAATATGAAAAAAAAATTACATTAAAGTGAGAAAAAGGGCAATTTTTTAAAGAAAAAGGATATATTATGGGCATTGTTTGAGCTCTGACTGTAAGTTATTAGAGTGGTACTATGTTCTACCCATGTGTTTCTCAATATATTTAACAATATTTTGTCAAATGCTTAAAAATAAGCTGGCCAGGCGTGGTGGCTCACATCGGTAATCCCAGCACTTTGGGAGGCTCACGAGGTCAGGAGATTGAGGCTATCCTGGCTAACACGGTGAAACCCCGTCTCTACTAAAAAAACAAAAAATTAGCTGGGCGTGGTGGTGGGCACCTGTAGTCCCAGCTACTTGGGAGGCTGAGGCAGGAGAATGGTGTGAACCTGGGAGGCGGTGCTTGCAGTGAGCCAAGATTGCGCCACTGCACTCCAGCCTGGGTGACAGAGCGAGACTCTGTCTCAAAACAAAAAACATATTTTTCTGTAGTTTGTATTACGAAAACAACAGGTATTCTTTCCCCTTAGAAAACTGCATCACAGTACTTAATATGCTTCTTCAAACTACTCCTCCCCCACTTTTCCTAATGAATTCCACTATACTATAGGGGTGTGTTTGTGTGTGTGTGTTTGTGTCTGTGTGTGTAGAGAGATTTTTAGGGATGAGTAAGGTGAATTTTCAACATGTGCCTCAGGCAACTCTGATGCACACAGTATTTGAAGTGATGGCTATCTCAATTACCCTGATTTGATCATTATACATAGTGTACCCCCCAAAATATGTAAAATTATGTTATCAATTTTTTAAAATGTAGATATTGAAATTGTAAAAAAAAAAACCACTTTCTGCTTAATGGCATGAGACAACATCTTATGTTTAATTCAATCTAATTCTTTAAAACCAAAATAAATTTAAAGATATTTATCAACGAGGCTACATATATTTTAATTCCATCAATAATATAGGTAAATGGCATTATAATTCAGAAGAACCAAAAATTAAAATTTGAGAACCACAAATGTAGGTACTGAATAAGCAATAAACCACTGATATCAAATGAGAATCATGAAGATTCTCATTCACTTAATCAATAGCCTCCCATTTATTCTATCCTACAGATAAGATCTGCACACATGTATACATCTGTAAAACCTTACCACAGAAGGAGCAAGTCCTTTTGAATTCTGTTTCTTCTTGGGTTTTGAAGGGGTTTGCTTGTCTGAGGTATTGTGAGCTCCACTGATTTGATTCACTTGCCTATAAAACCCATCTGAAAGATATTCCAAGGAAATTTAGGTTTCAGGATTCTTACATGCTGAATATAACATGTGTAAATAAAACTTCAATATTAAGTAATTTTTGACCAAGTTGGTGAAATTAGAAGCCAGCAGAGCCAGCTGCACTACATCTCCTGTGGTGAGACTATAATGTATAAAAAGGGAGAGATGTTTATAACAGCTTTAATAATTGCCAAAACTTGGAAACAACCAAGATGTCCTTCAGTAGGTGAATGGATAAACTTTGGTTCATCCAGACAATGGAATATTATTCAGCACTGGAAAGAAATGAGCTTGATAAAGCCATAAAATGACATGGAGGAAATGTGACTGGGGGAAGTAATAAGATCAGTGGTTGCCAGGGCTTAGAGGGAGGTAGGGATGAATAACTGGAGCACAGAGGATTTCTAGAGTAGTGAAACTATTGTGTATGATGCTACAATGGTGGACGCACGTCATTACACATTTGTCAATATCCACAGAATGTGTAATACTAAGAATATATAACACTGATGTAAATTATAAACTCTGAGTGACAGCATGTGTTGACATAGGTTAACTGATTATAACAAATGTACCACTCAGGCACAGGATGTTGTCAGTGGGGAAGTCTGTGTGTGGGCAGGGCAGGGGCTATATGGGAACTCTCTGTACTTTCTGCTCAGTTTTGCTGTGAACCTAAAACTGCTCTACAAAATAAGGTTTATTAAAATTTTTCTAAATAATTTTATTATTTATTTCAAAATAGCTAGAAGAATGGGAGGCTGAGGCAGGCAGATTGCCTGAGGTCAGGAGTTCCAGATCAGCCTGGCCAACATGGTGAAATCCTGTCTGTACTAAAAATACATAACTAGCTGGGAGTGGTGGCATGCACCTGTAATCCCAGCTACTTGAGAGGCTGAGGTAGGAGAATTACTTGAACCCAGGAGGCGGAGGTTGCAGCGAGATGAGATCACGCCACTGCACTCCAGCCTGGGTGACAGAGTGAGACTCCGTCTCCAAAAAAAAAAAAAACAAGAAACAAAAAACCAGAAGAGAAGAATTGTAATGTTCCCAACACAAAGAAAAGATAAATGTTTGAGGTGATGGATATCCCAATTATCCTGATTTGATCATTTCATGTTCTATATATGTATCAAGATATCACATATACCCCTGAAAATATGTAGAACTATGTTACCAATTTTTTAAAATGCAGACACAAAAAAAAATTTTAATAAATTAACTAAAAGTGAACAGTGAGATAATCATCGTCTGCTTAATAGCATCATGAGACAACCATGAGCTTATGTTTAATTCAATCTAATTCTTTAAAATCAGGCTGGGCCTGGTGACTCACGCCTGTAATTTCAGCACTTTGGGAGGCCAGGGTGGGCAGATCACTTGAGGTCAGGAGTTTGAGACCAGCCTGGCCAACATAGTGAAACCCCATTTCTATTAAAAAAATACAAAAATTAGCCAGGCATGGTGGCGGGTGGCTGTAATCCCAGCTACTCAGGAGGCTGAGCTAGAGGAATTGCTGGAACCCAGCGGGTGGGGAGTGCAGTGAGCCAAGTTCACGCCACTGCACTCCAGCCTGGGTGACAGAGACTCCATCTCAAAAAAAAAAAAAATAATAATAATAAAATAAAAAAAATTCTTAAAAACCAAAATAAAGACATTTACCAGTGAGGCTGCGTATTAATATTTTTAAGTCCATCAATAATGTGGGTAAATGGCATTATAATTCAGAAGACAATATGAGATAAATACATGAGTGTAATACTTGTAACAGTGACACTCATGTATTTATCACTCAGGACACTCAGTGAAGATCCTGAGATCTGGAACAGTGAGCAGAAATGGGAAATTATGAGTACATGCCCCCTGGTGGTAATCAGATGAAATCACTAACTCTTTCACTCAAAATTAAGTACAGGGTAATCCCAAATCTCTCAAAATTAAAATAGATCTAGATAACCTTTTTTGTTGCACCTGGTATCCCAGACCATAATGTTGCCATCTCTTCCACCCGTACAGAATACAGCTGTGGGGAAATAAACAGATTATTAAGAGGTTAACAAAACCAGTCAATGACACATATATTTCAGTTTACATTTTGTAGACTATCTATTATGTGCTAGGTACTGTATCTGTCACTGGAGATCAAACATTTAAAAATATATGGCTCAATAACAAATAGGAAAAAGGATTATGAAGAGCTTGAGATGCTAATGTTGAACCAAAACTTCATAGAATCACCCCTCTGTAAATTTTTTAAAACCCATATAAAATATATAGTACAGTTGTAATAAGAATAACAATCAAGAGTCAAAATACAGAGTGCTTCTTATTCTAAATGTTAGCTACTATCCCGCGTGTTTTATAAAAATTATCTCAATCCTTGCTATCAACCTTATTAGGTAAGTACCAAGAGAGGCACAGAGAGGATAAGTAACTTGTAAAGGTATTCCTGGCAGTATGAATCCAGAGCTTACACTCCAAACCTCTAAACTGTATTGGCTCAGTATAAAAATATGGACCAGATCCATATGAAGTTTGTTAAAGAGGTTGCCTGGGATGCAATGGGATTGGAAAAGGCACTATAGGAGAACTTCAATTTATCTGTAATGTTTTATTCTTTAAAATTAAGCCAGAAAAAAACCCTGCTTCCTGTGTGAAAGAGTGAGCACTTAAACTAATCCACTTGCATTAGTTGTACATGGGATAAAACACAAAAACAGCTACCTGAGGGCTCTGTGGAAACTGAATGAAAACATGCAATTTTTCTTACTGATACATAGTATTTTACATATTTATGGGGTATATGTGATATTTTGATGCCTGCATAGAATGTGTTATGATCAAGTCAGGGTATCTGGGGTATCCATCACCTTGTATTCATCATTTCTATGTGCTGGGAACATTTTAAGTTCTCTCTTCTAGCTGCTTGAAATATACAATAATTTGTAAGGTGACAATAGTCAGGTATCGAACAATGGAACTTACACCTTCTATCTAACTTTATGCTTGTATCCATCAAGCAACCTTTCTTCATTCCCCCCTCACACCCACTCACTTTCCAGCCTCTGGTTATTTATCATTCTACTCTCTACCTCCATGATACTGTTTTAGCACCCACATATAAATGGGAACATGTGAAATTTATCTTTTGTGCCTGGCTTGTTTAACATAATGTTGATGTGAATGACATTTCCTTATGGCCAAATAGTATTCAATTGTGTATATACTACATTTTTAAAAACTCTATTTGTTCGTTAATAGACAGGTTGATTCCATATCTTGGCTATTGTGAATAGTGCTGCAACAATGTGACTGCAGTTATTCCTTTGATATACTGTTTGTCTTTGAATCAATACCCAATAATGAGACTGCTAGATCAATGGTAATTCTATTTGTTTTTTTTTTTTTGAGAAATCTTACTGTTTTCCATAGTGACTGGACTAATTTACATTTCCACCAACAGTGTACAAGAGTTCTCTTTTCTCCACATCCTTGCCAGCATGTTTTGTTTAATAATAGCCATTCTAACTGGGTTAAGATGATATCTCACTGTGGTTATTAGTCATGTTGAGCAGTTTTTCACATACCTGTTGGCCATTTGTATGTCTTCTTTCGCGAAATGTCTATTCATGGTCTTTGCCTACTTTTTTTTTTTTTTTGAGACAGGATCTCACTCTATCACTCAGGCTGGAGTACAGCGATGTAATCACCGCTCAGGGCTCAGTGATCCTCTCATCTCAGCCCCACCAAGTAGCTGGGACTACAGTAGTACACCACCATGCCCAGTTAATTTTTTTGTATTTCTTTGTAGAGACAGTTTTGGCACATTGCCCAGTCTGTGTTTGCCTACTTTTTAATATTTTGTCTTTTCTACTGTTGAGTTGTTCGAGTTCCTTGTATACATTCTACATATTATTCCCTTATCAGATAAATAGTTTGCAAATACTTCCCATTCAAAAAGTTTTGGCATGCAGAAGCTTTTTAGTTTAGTATAGTCTAGTTTATCTATTTGTTCTTGTTGTCTGTGCTTTTGAGTTCTTGGCCAGCCATAAAATCTTTGCCTAAACCAATATCCTGAAGTGTTTTCCCTATGTTTTCTTCTAGTAGTTCTATTGTTTCAGGTCTTACATTTAAGTCTTTATACTCCATCTTGATTTTTTTTTTTTTTTTTTGAGACTGAGTCTCACTGTGTCAACCAGGGTGGAGTGCAGTGGTGCTATCTTGGCTCATTGCAATTTCTGCCTCCTGTGCTCAAGCGATTCTCATGCCTCAGCCTTCCAAGCAGCTGGGACTACAGGCGCGCCTACCACGTCAAGCTAATTTTTTGTATTTTAGTAGAGGTGGGGTTTTGCCATGTTGCCCAGGCTGGTCTTGAACTCCTGAGCTCAGGCAATCCACCTGCCTTGGCCTCCCAAAGTGCTAGGATTACAGGCATGAGCCCCATGTCTGGCCTATCTTGATTTTCTTTAATATAGTGAGATAGAGGTACAGTTTCATTCTTCTGCATGTGGATACCCAGTTTTCCCAGCACCGTTTATTGTAGGTTCTTGGCACCTTTATTGAAAATCAATTGGCTGTAAATATATGGATTTATTTCTGAATTCTCTATTCTGTTCCATTGGTCTCTGTGTCTGTTTTTATGCCATGCTGTTTTAGTTATTATATTAGCTATATTCTTTTTGCTTAGGATTGCTTTGGCATTTGGGTTCTTTTTGGCTCCACATAAATTTTAAGATTGTTCTTTCTACTTCTGTGAAAAATGATGTTGGTATTTTGATGGGGATTGCACTGAATCTGTAGATTGCTTGGGGTAGTATGGCCATTTTAAAAATAATAATTTTTTCCCATCCATGAGCATGAGGTCTCTTTCCATTTGTCTCCTCTTCAATTTCTTTGATCGGTTTCATACTTTTCCTTATAGAGGTCTTTCACCTCTTTGGCTAAATTTATTCCTAAGTGTTTTATTTTTTTGTAGCTATTGTAAATGGGATTGCCTTCCTGATTTCTCTCTCAGCTAATTCATTATTGATGTATAGAAATGCTATTTTTTTTGTATGTTGATTTTGTATTCTGCAACTTTTAATGAATTTATCAGATCTGAGGTTTTTTTTTTTTTTTTTTTTTTTTGTAGAGTCTTTAAGTTTTTCTAGATATAAGATCATAACATCAGCCAAGGAAAATACAACTTCTTTTCCAGTTTGGATACTTTTTACTTCTTTCTCTGGCCTGATTGCTCTGGGTAGAACTTCCAGTACCATGTTGAATAGGAGTGGTGAAAAGCGTGCGTCCTTGTCTTGTTCCAGTTCTCAAGGGAAAGGCTTCCAGCTTTTTTCGATTCAGTGTGGTGTTAACTGTGAGTCTGTCATATACAGCCTTTTTATGTTGAGATATGTTCCTTCCATGCCTAGTTGGTTGAGTTTTTTAATTCGGAGGAGATGCTGAATTTTATCGAATTATTTTTCTCTATCTACTAAAATGATCATATGGTTTTTGTCCTTCATTCTGTTGATGACGTATGTATCATGTTTATTGATTTGTCTATATTGAGCTATTCTTGCATTCCTGGGATAAATCCCACTTGATCATGGTGTATTTTTTTTTTTTAATGTGCTGTTGAATTCAGTTTGCTAGTATTCTGTTGAGGATTTTTGCATCTATGTCCGTATGTTCTGTAGTTTTTTTGTGTGTGTCCTTGTGCTTGTCTGGTTTTGGTATCAGAATAATGCTGGCCTTGTAGAATGAGTTAGGGAGAATTCCCATCCTTTTCAATTTTTGGAATAGTTTGAGAACTGGTGTTAGTTCTTTAAAAGTTTGGTAGAATTCAGCAGTGAAGCCATCTGGTCCTGAACTTTTCTTTGTTGGAAGACTTTTTATTATTGCTTTGATCTTGTTACTATTGATTTGATCAGGTTTCCTAGTTCTTTCTGATTCAGTCTTGGTAGGTTGCATGTGTCCTGTAATCTATCCATTTCCTCTAGGTTTTCTAGTTAGTGTATAGTTGTACACAATAGTTTCTGATGATCTTTTGTATTTCTGTATTATCAGTTGCAATGTTTCCTTTTTCATTTCTGATTTTATTTAAGACCATCTTTCTTTTTTTTCGTGGTTAGTCTAGCAAGTACCTTATTGATTTTGTTTATCTTTTCCAAAAACCAACCTTTTGTTTTGTTGACCCTTTTTCTTGTTTTTTTAAGTCTCTATTTAGTTAGGCTCTGCTATTTATTATTTCCCTCTATTAATTTGGGGTTTGGTTTGTTCTTGCTTTTCTAGTTCCTTGAGGTACATTGTTAGATTCTTTTAAAGTCTTTCTACTTTTTTGGTATAGGTGTGTATTGCTATAAACTTTCCTCTTAGTACTGCTTTTATTGTATCCCATGGGTTTTGGTATGTTGGGTTTCAATTTTCATTTGTTTCAAGAATTGTAAAAATTTCCTTAATTTCTTCCTTTACCCAAGTCATTCATAATCATACTGCCTAATTTCCACGTATTTGTAGTTTCCAAACTTCCTTTTGTTGTTGATTTCTAGTTTTATTCCATTGTGGTCTGAGAAGATTCCTGATATTATTTCAACTTTTAAAAATGTGTTGAGACTTGTTTTGTGTCTTAACATGTGGTCTAGCTTGGAGAATATTCTGTTTGCTGATGAGAAGAATGTGTATTCTGTAGCTGTTGGATGAAATGTTCTGTAAATATCTCTTAGGTCCATTTGGTCTAATGTGCAGTTTAAATCCAATTTTCTTTCTAGATATCTGTCTAACGCTGAGTGGGGTGGCTGAAGTCCTCAACTGTTATTGCACTGGAGTCTCTCCCTTTAGATCTAATAGTATTGGCTTTATATATCTGTGTGCTCCAGTGTTAGGTATATACATGTTTACAATTGATATATCCTTTGGCTGAACTGATTTATCATCATAGAATAACCTTCGTTTCTTCTTACTGCTTTTGACATAAAGTCTGTTTTATCTGATGTAAGTATAGCTATTCTTGCTTGCTTTTGGTTTCCATTTGCATGTAGTATCTTTTTACATTCCTTTATTTTCAGTTTATACTTGTCTTCACAGGTGAGATGCGTTTCTTGTAGGCAGCATATAATTAGGTCACATTTGTCTATTTGCCCAGTCTGTACTTTTCAAATGGAAAGTTTAACATGTTTACATTCAACGTTATTGATATGTGAAGGCTTATTCCTAACTTTATTGATTGACTTCTGGTTGTTCTGTATATCCTTTGTTCCTTCCTTTCTCTGGTACTTTTTATCATTATGGTTTCATGGTATTCGGTAGTGGTAACATTTCAGCCTTTCCTCTTTCTTGTTTGTGTGTTTGCTTACCAGTAGTTTTTATATTTTCTTGTGTTTTCATGACAGTAAATATTGCTCTTCACTTCCCGGTATAAGACTCCTTTTAGTATTTTCTGTACGGCCCATCTACTGGTGATTAATTTCCTCAGCTTTTGCTTGTTTGGGAAAGACTTTATTTCTCTTTTATTTATGAAGGATAATTTTACTGGGTGTAGTATTCTTGGGTGGCAGGTTTTTTTTTTTTTCTTTAAGCATGTTGAATATATCATCTCATTCTCTCCTGAACTATAAGATTTCTGCTGAGAAATCTGCTGTTAGGTCTGATGGGGTTTCTTTTATAGGTGACTAGATGTTTTTTCTCTGCTTTTAGAATTTTCACTTTGTCTTTGACTTTTGAGTTTGACTACAATGTGCCATGGAAAAAAAACCTTTTTGAATTATATCCATGTGGGGATCTTGGAGCCTCCTGTATGTGGATATATAAATCCCTTGCTAGACTTGGGAAGTTTTCACCTATTATTTTGTTAAATAGGCTTTCTAACCCTTTCATTTTATCTTTGCCTTCTGGGACACTGAAAATTCATATATTTGGCCACTTTATAGTGTCCCATATGCCATGAAAGCTTTAGTCATTCATGTTTATTATTTTTTCTCTATTTTTGTCTGAGTAGGTTATTTTAAAAGATCTTCAAAACATCTTCAAGTTCTGGGATTCTTCTGCTTGATCTAGTCTATTGTTGAAGCTTTCAAAGGTATTTTGTATTTCATTAAATGAATTCTGTAGTTCCAGAATTTAGCTCTATTTTATGATACCTATCTCTTTGGTAGATTCCTCATTCATTTCCTCAATTATTTTTCTGTTTCTTTGTATTGTCTTTCAGAATTCTCTTTTCTCTCACTGAGCTTCCTTAGTATCAGTATGTTGGATCATTTTTCCAGGATTTTGAGAATTCCTTTTTGATTGGGATTTGTTGCTGAAGAATTACTGTGTTCCTTTGGATGTGTCACATATCCTTGCTTTTTGATTTCTCTGTGTTTTTATGTTGATATTTGTGCACCTGGTGTAACAGTTGCTTTTTCCAATTTTTTGAATTTGGTTTGTAGTGGAGAACATTTTCCTGAAGATGTATCTATGGTGATGGTTGGAGAGGACACTTGGCTTTGGTTCTGGATGCAAGCAGTAGCATAGTCTCTATCATTTCTTTTGGCCATAGAGTCATTGGTATCTGGTTTCGTTGGTAGATTAGAGTGTGGTTTTTAGTGCAGACTGGTTAAGTTTTGCCAGAAATTGAAATACCAGGTGGGCCAGTCTTCAGGCCCCAGTGGTGGCAGCAGTGGTCTGAGCCTGTGTGTCCTTTGGCCCCAAGGCAGCATACGCTGGCACTGGTGTTAATGGATCCAGGCAGGTAGATTCTTGGGCCTTCAGATGACTTACTCAGGTATTGGAAATGGCAGCAGTGGGCCAGGTGGGTGGGCAAATTCTTGAGCCCCTGGGCAGGAGGTGTGGAGTGGTGTGGATGATGACAGTAGCAGTGATGAAAAAATCCCCTGGAACCCAAGTGTTCCGTACTAGTGTTGGCGGTGGCTGTGACAGGTTGGGCAGGCCAGTCCCTAGACTTGCAGGTTGCATGTACAGGTTGGTGCCAGCTATGGTGGTAGCAGCAGATTGAGTAGGCCCAAGTTTAGACTCTAGGAGGAGTGCTCAGGCACCACTGGTGATGAACTGAACTGGGCAATCCTCAGGCCTCCCAGAGGGTGTGCTTGGGTAGTGGCGTGTATGAAGCCAGGCTAGGTGGAACTGCCCTCAGTGACCCTGGTGGTGCATGCAGGTGCTGGCTATGGAAGGCAGGGGTGGGGTGATCCCCAGGCTTCCAGTGGAATGCTCAGGTAAGGGGCAGCAGCAGCTATGCTGCAGTACTGACATGCAGAGTGGGGTTGCTTTCCCTGGGAGTACCCATAGGCAGGCAGTTAAACGACTGAGTTTTGCTTACACCTCTGCCCTGCAGCAGCCCAGAGTGGTGGTGGTTGCAGGAAGTGGAATTTGTCCTTGGGGAGTGTGAAAATGTGCAGCTGCCCCTCCACTCAGGGGAATGAGGTCGCTGTGTGTGGCTCCCAATTCAGCCTGGGTGGCAGGGCAGGACACAGTCTGGTGGGGGCTGGGCTCTGAAAATCAGTGTTACAGCTGCTTAGGACTTGAGGGTTTGTGGGACCCAGTATGATATCTCTCTGGAGCAATGCCTTCATGAAGTCTCCAGGCAGCTCCCTATGTTAGTCTCAGGGTCCGTGAGCATCAAGGGGTCTCCCATGGCTATTATTAGGGTTCACAGTGGGTATTTGGGCTGCTGGGGGTCTCCCACTTACTCTGTCCCTGCATAGGAAGCCTCTCCAGATTCCTAGCTGATCCCAGCCAAACAGGCTGCTTTACTTTTCTCTCCTTCCTTGCTTCCGGAGCTTCTTATCACTTCTCTGTTGAATCCCAGTGTTCTCTCTTAGATGATCTATTTGAAGGGTGATTATCTACGATCTCACTGTCACTATAATATCTCACTATTTTGGTTCCACTCTGTGAAAGAGGTGAGTACCAGATGCATCTAGTCAGCCATGTTGAAACCATTCATCTAATTCAGCACTTTTTAAGTGTCAGGCACTATTCATTCCTTTTAACAGCTTTGGTTGTACAGAATGTCACTCGGGTTCATTTTTCCCCTTTTGTTGGAATTTACTCCGCCTAAAATAGAAACTGTTGTTTGGGGATAAAATTTACTCCTCCCTTTAAGTTACCACTTTCCTCCTTTTTTTTTTTTTTTTTTTTTGAGGTGGTGTCTCGTTGTCACCCAGGCTGGAGTGCAGTGGCACGATTTTGGCTCACTGCAACCTCTGTCTCCCAGGTTCAAGCGCTTCTCCCGCCTCAGCCTCCCGAGTAGCTGGGATTACAGGCATGTGTCACCACACCCGGCTAATTTTTTATATTTTTGGTAGAGACAGGGTTTCACCATCTTGGCCAGGCTGGTCTCGAACTCCTGACCTCAGGTGATCAGCCCACCTCAGCCTTGCAAAGTGCTGGGATTACAGGCATGAGCCACCGTGCCTGGCCCACTTTCCTCTTAAACATGCAATTTTTGGAGGAGAGTCAACATCTTTAGCAAATGATTGGCCTGAGATTAAGTTACTGGGTTTTTTGGTGTTTTTTTTTTTTTTGTGTGTGTGGTTTTACCTTGAGGACAGCCAAAGTTGCAGCATTAATACCAGGCAGCTAAAATGCAAATTAAAAAATCTGCCATCTTTCAAGCCAGAAGAACAAGGAAAAGGAGACTGGGAGCAACAAGAACAGTCAGAGAGTGAGGGGATGGGGAAAACCTGGAGACAGCTAGAGAAAGGGAACCCATGATTCCGTGTTTAAACTCAGTCCAAGTCTCTGGCTGACCCCTGTACCATATGGGCAAGAGAAACTGAAAGCAGTTTGCAGCTGAGGCTTAAACTAAAGAAAATAATTGAGATAAGATCCACTGCCCTCCTGTAGGTGTGACAGTCTTCAATTTGGATCCAAACAAGTGAATTGCCTGTTAAAAAAGGAACACCAACTCTTTTCTAAGCAATATAACAGAATCTAGAATCCAACATACCACTCGCAATGTCCTGAATATAATCTTAAATTACTTGACTTACAAAGAGCCAGGAAAACGAATAATTCTCAAGGGAAAATAAATCAATGGAAGCCAATCCCAAGATAATCCAGATATTGATTTATCAGATAAGGTTGTAAAGGATACATAACCATGTTAAATGAGTTAAAGAAACGTACACTTAGCCTGGGCAACATGGCGAAACCCCATCTCTACAAAAAATACAAAAATTAGCTGGGTGTGGTGGCATGCACCTATAGCCTCAGCTACTTGGGAGGCTGAGGTGGGAGGATCACTTGAGCCCGGGAGGCAGAGGTTGCAGTGAGCAGATTTCGCCACTGCACTCCAAACTGGGTGACAGAGTGAGACCCTGTCTCAAACAACAACAACAACAAAAAACAAAAAAAGGAAGAAAAAAATATATACACTTGTAATCAATAAAAAGATGATAAATCTCAGCAGGAAACAAACAAACAAACAAACAAATGAAGGTCAGCCACTGTGGCTCATGCCTGTAATCCCAGCATTTTGGGAGGCTGGGGTTGACAGATCCCTTGGGCCCAGAAGTTCAAGACCAACCATGGGTGAAACCCCATCTCTACAAAAAATACAAAAAGAAATTAGCCAGGCATGGTGGCATGTGCCTATGATCATGCTACTGCCCTCTAATCTGGGCAACAGTGCCAGACCCTGTCTTAAAAAAAACATAAGAAAATTTTAGAACTGAAAACCAGTATCTGAAATTAAAAAAAAAAATCACTGGATAGGCCTAAGAACAGGCTGGAGAAAATAGAGAAAGTGAACTTTAGGACAAATTAATAGAAATCATTCAATTTGAAGAAGAGAGAGAAAAATAGAACTGAACATTAGGCTAAATTAAAGAAGCCAGTCACAGAAGACCACATATTGTATCATTCCATTTGTATGCATGTGTATAATGGGCAAATCTATAGAGACCGAAATTACTATAGTGGTTGTATAAGGTTGGAAGGAATGGGTGAAAGTACTGCTAATGCGTTCAAGTTTCTTTTTGGACTGATGAAAAGATTCTAAATTTAGATTGTGGTGATAGCTGCACGACTTAGTGAATAAACTAAAAACCACTAAACCGTGTACTTTAAATGGATGAATTTTATGGCTTGTTCATTTTATCTTAAGTTTAGGATAACTGAAAAAAAACAAAACCTCAAGGATGCATGGGATAATTTAGAAAAGTCAAATACATGAGTAATTGAAAAAAAATATATATATATGGGTAATTAAGGTAACAGAAGAAGCAGGGAGGAGAGAGAATATGAATAAATTAGGCAGAAAAAATATTTCTTTTTTTTTTTTTTTTGAGGCAGAGTCTCGCTCTGTTGCCCAGGCTGGAGTGTGGAGTGCAGTGGTGCGATCTCAGCTAACTGCAACCTCCGCCTCCCAGGTTCAAGCGATTCTCCTGCCTCAACCTCCTGAGTAGCTGGGATTACAGGTGCCCACCACAACGCCTGGCTAATTTTTGTATTTTTAGTAAAGATGGGATTTCATCATGTTGGCCTAGCTGGTCTTGAACTCCTGACTTCAGGTGATCTGCCTGCCTCAGCCTCTCAAAGTGCTTGGATTACAGGCCTGAGCCACCACACCTGGCCCAGAAAAAGTATTTCAAGAAATGATAGAAAAATTCCTATTCAGTAAAAAGGAATTTACAAATACAAAAAGCTAAAACAAGCCTCAAACAGGAAAACTGTGAAGGGAACCATGACTAGACATACCACAGTCAAACTGCTAGAAACCAAAGACAAAAAATCCTGAAAATAGTCAGGAAAAACAGCATATTATATACAGGGAAATGATTTTAACAACCACAGAGTTCTCAATGAAAGCAGAGATGATAGTGGAACAACTTTAGCAATGAAAGGAAAAAAAAGCTGTTGACCCAGAATTTCATATCCAGCTTCTTTTCGGCCGGAACCGCCATCTTCCAGTAATTCGCCAAAATGACAAACACAAAGGGAAAGAGGAGAGGCACCCGATATATGTTCTCTAGGCCTTTTAGAAAACATGGAGTTGTTCCTTTGGCCACATATATGCGAATCTATAAGAAAGGTGATATTGTAGACATCAAGGGAACGGGTACTGTTCAAAAAGGAATGCCCCACAAGTGTTACCATGGCAAAACTGGAAGAGTCTACAATGTTACCCAGCATGCTGTTGGCATTGTTGTAAACAAACAAGTTAAGGGCAAGATTCTTGCCAAGAGAATTAATGTGCGTATTGAGCACATTAAGCATTCTAAGAGCCGAGATAGCTTCCTGAAACGTGTGAAGGAAAATGATCAGAAAAAGAAAGAAGCCAAAGAGAAAGGTACCTGGGTTCAACTAAAGCGCCAGCCTGCTCCACCCAGAGAAGCACACTTTGTGAGAACCAATGGGAAGGAGCCTGAGCTGCTGGAACCTATTCCCTATGAATTCATGGCATAATAGGTGTTAAAAAAAAAAAATAAAGGACCTCTGGGCTAAAAAAAAAAAAAAAAAAAAAAAAAAAAAAAAAAAAAAAAAAAAGAATTTCATATCCAACAAAAATGTCCTTCGAGAATGATGATGAAATAAGGACATTTTCAGGTAAAGAAAAACTAAGGTAAATTATTACCATCAGACTCACACTATAAGAAAAGTTAAATACGTTGTTCAAGGAAATGATATCAGAGGAGAGGAAAAAGATGGCATTGCCAGGGAGAAATCATGAGTTCAGGGAGGAATTGTGGGTTCACTTTTTGATATGTTGAATCTGAAGTACTTGCAGAAAGGTTAAGGCTAGGAATATAGATCTGGGTCAACACAAGTAGGATGAAAAACAAAACAAAACTGGTACAGATGAAACTGTCCAAGAAGGTATAGGTTGAAAGCAAAAAAAGGCTAAACACCAAATCCTGGGCCTTGCTAACACTTCAACCTAGGTAAAAGCAACTATGAAAGAATAAAGAGAAGGACAGAAGGAGTACCAGAGGGAGTGGGATATCACAGATTCTAAGCAAAGACTTTTATTGAAATTCTATAAAAGACCAAAAGTGTAACATATTATACAAGCAGAAGAAAAGACCTGAAAAGTTTCGTGCTTTCTGATAATTAGATAATTAATAACCTTAGCAAGAGTGATTTCAGGAAGAGGGCTAGATGTGGAAAATAGATTAAACCAAATTAAAGGAGATGGAAAATATGAAACAGTAACAACTAAAAGAGAACACAGGGTTAAGATATTTGGGAAAATAGGCCAAATATCTTCTCCTAAGGAGAAACAGCCAATAGAGAGGGAGAACTTGAAGATACAGGGTAGTGGGGATACATGTGATGGTGGAAGGTCTTGGGAAGGATCAAGAATGTTTCTCAATTTTAGCTACACATTGAAATCCCTTGAGGAACTTTGAAAAAATAAATGCCTGGCCCACTTGCAAGAGATTCTCATTTAATTAAAACTTGAGAATGAAGAATGAGAAAGAAGGTGTAAATATAGGTAAGTTTGTAGGAGAGGAAATAAATTTATAATCAATTTTAATTATCCACTAGAAGTTCTAATACCTGCCCTTTTGCCACACAAAGCACTTATCTGAGTCCATTTTCTTTGCTTTTAGTTGGTAGATACTTAGGGAAGGCAAATTCCATTAGTGTGACTATGTCCAGTTAGGATTATTTGTATCCTACCTATGTAGGGTGGAAGGAACTGGACCAAAGATGTTTTCTACCATACTACCTACAAAAACCCCCACAAAACACTAAGTATTTATATGGTCCTCTGATTGATTATAGATAGATCGATTGATTTAATTAATTTATTTTGAGACTGGGTCTCACTCTATTGCCCAGGCTAGAGTATGATGGCACAATCACAGCTCACTACAGCTGCAAACTCCTGGGCTCAAGCGATCCTCCCACCTCAGCCTCCCAAGTAGCTCGGACTATAGGTGCATACCACTGTACCAAGCTAATTTTCTGTTTTCTTATAGGGTCTCACTATGTTACCCAGGCTGGTCGTGAACTCCTGGCCTCAAGCAATCCTTCTCAGCCTCCCAAGTTGCTGGGATTATAGGGATGAGCCACCATAATGAGCTCAGATTAAAAAAAAAAAAGTATTCATATTTCACCTCACTTTTATGTCTACAATATTTTTGTGACCTAAATAGACTAGGTATTTATCTCATAAAATTAGAAAATGAAGGCCCAAGGAGGTTAAAATCACTTTGCCCAGGAGGCCAGAATAAAACAGAGGGCTTCCATGTTTAGTTGCAAAGGTTTGCCCTGCAAGAGGGCTTATGGCTGATGGAGTGAGTGGAGCTATTATCTATTCTGTTTTAACAAAACAAACCACAGGGCTTGGGAGCAGTATCCGATCAGACTAATTTACACTAGAGTACCTATGAACTACTGAAAATCATGAAAAAAGCCACCTGCCCCAATCTCTAACTCAGTGCCTTTTCTTCTACAGCTCATTGTCACAGGCTGATTCACATGCAGAGTTGTAAAAATTAAGCAAAAGGACCAAAAGATATGTTTTCCACTACTCTTTAGTTAGGTAAATTTTCATTATCTTAAAATTATGTTTACAAACTCAGAGTGAACTATGACACAAGAGTGTAGAAAACTAGAACACAAGCATACCTAACTACTTAAATATGTTAATAAAGTTATGCAGAAATAAGAAAAATCATGCCATATTTCCCCTTCAAGGTTCCAGTTTCAACTGCAACCACAGTAAATTAAAACCGACTTTCTTAAAAGTCCAAGCCAGGCTGGGCATGGTGGCTCATGCCTGTAATCTCAGCACTTTGGGAAGCCAATGCGGGCAGATCACTTGAGGTTAGGAGTTCGAGACCAACCTGGCCGACATGGCGAAACCCTGTCTCTACTAAAAATACAAAAATTAGCTGGGCGTGGTGGTACACGCCTGTAATCCCAGTTACTTGGGAAGTTGAGGCATGAGAATTGCTTGAACCTGGGAGGTGGAGGTTGCAGTGAGCCAAGATCACGCCACTGCATTCCAGCCTGGGCAACAGAGTGAGACTTTGTCTCAAAAAACAAACAAACAAACAAACAAACAAACAAACAAAAAACCAGTCCAAACCAGCTTAACCTCCTAAATGGCTCAGGTGAATAAATGAAAACATTTGATTTTTAAAACAGAGTACTTTTTTTTTTTTTAGTGATAAAGGAGATTGTAATGTCTGTCACTATTATTCAGAGATTAAAGTCAGATTACTTCAGAGACTCCTTTGAGAGAAATGTTTGTTGGTCCATTTAAAAAAAATTATTTAGTGAGAAACAAATGGAAGGAGAAAACAAACAAACAAAAACAGAAATGAAGAGCTTATTCAGACACCACTGATAAGTTTTTCCCTAGCTGCTACAGTACTGTGCTGTGTTATATAACTCTTAAATCTTCCTTGTCCATTATAACAATATAAACATAGGAAAATCAATTTTAAGTAATAGTTGAAAACATAATAGAAAATTGGGCCATTTGGCCGGGTGTGGTGGCTCATGCCTGTAATCCCAGCACTTTAGGAGGCCGAGGCAGGTGGATCACGAGGTCAGGAGTTCAAGATCAGCCTCGCCAAGATGGTGAAACCCCAGATCTACTAAAAACACAAAAATTAGCTGGGCGTGGTGGCAGGCTCCTGTAATCCCTCCCAGGTACTTGGGACGCTGAGGGAGAGGATTGCTTGAACCCGGGGGATGGAGGCTGCAGTGAGCTGAGATCGAGCCTCTGCACTCCAGCCTGGGTGACAGAGACTCCGTCTCAAAAAACAAACAAACAAACAAAAAACAAAAAACAGGCCATTTAAACCAAATACATGATAAATTTTTAGGTAGAAAAAAATTATGTTGTTTATCAGCCTTATAGCTCATTTAGATTTTACAAGCAGAGTTAAAGTAACTCTGTTTTACAAATAGTTAATGAGTGCCCAGTACAAGGTTTTAACTTCAATGAACAATCAAGGTTGAACAATGGTATTGTAGCTGTTTATAAATCTTTACCTTATGTGCAAGATTACAGAAAAACTTATCAAAGACTCTTGACTTTCAGGGACAAGCTAGAGATAATGTCCAGAAGAGTGGGCCTAAAACCAATTTAATTTTATTAAGGTTTTCAGTCATGTTAGAATCTTAATCACCTGGCTGGGTGCAGCGGCTCACGCCTGTGATCCTAGCACTTTGGGAGGCTGAGGCAGGTGGATTGCCTGAGCTCAGGAGTTCTAGACCAGCCTGGCCAACATGGTGAAACCCCGTCTCTACTAAAAATACAAAAATTAGCTGGGCATGGTGATGTGCGCCTGTAGTCCCAGCTACTCCGGAGGCTGACGCAGGAGAATCACTTGAACCTGGGAGGCAGCGGAGGTAGCAGTGAGCCGAGATGGCGCCACTGCACTCCAGCCTGGGCAACAGAACGAAACTGTCTCCAAAAAAAGAATCTTAATCATCTATGTAGGTAAAGCAGTAACTTTGACAGGGGAAAGGGTAGAAACAATTACAGGTTCTTATCTCCCAACTGCAAAGAAGGTTAAGGAGATGAAAGAAGATAAGCACAAACCTACCTTTCTCAAACTTAGAAAAGGCAACTGACTTGAGGCTGCATTGATGACCTTTGCATGTTCCAATCAGCTCACCAGCTTTTACGTCCCAAAATTTGGCTGTTTGATCACCTGCTGCTGTAACCTTTCAAAAATAAGGTAAACACAATTTAATAAAGCACTCCCTTATCAGTATTTACCCAGATCCTAATGAAATAAAGTCACTTACAAGTTTAAGTTCACCAGGAACCCAGGCCAGGTCAAAGACGGCATTCCAGTGAGCCATCCATTCTAAACAAAGAAAATGGTAAATGTGAAATGTCTAAATTGTATTCTGTGGTACCCATATTAATATAACTTTAAATGCCTGGAAAGCTGTAGTAGTAAAAAGATCAGTAGTTGATCATTAGAGAAATGCAAATCAAAACCACAATGAGATATCATTTCACGTCAGTCAGAATGGCAATTATTTAAAAAGTCAAGAAACAACAGATGCTGGCAAGGCTGCGGAGAGATAGCAACAGTTTTACACTGTTGGTGGGAATGTAAATTAATTCAACCGTTGTGGAAGACAGTGTGGCGCTTCCTCAAAGACCTAGAACCAGAAATACCATTTGACCCAGCAATCCCATTACTGGGTATATACCCAAAGGAACATAAATCATTCTATTATAAAGATACATGCATGCATATGTTCACTGCAGCATTATTCACAATGGCAAAGACATGGAATCAACCCAAATGCCCATCAATGATAGATTGGATAAAGAAAATGTGGTACATATACACTGTGGAATACAATGCAGCCATAAGAGGAATGAGATCATGTCCTTTGCAGGGACATGGATGGAGCTGGAAGTCATTATCCTCAGCAAACTAATGCACAAACAGAAAACCAAACACCGTATGTTCTCACTCATAAGTGGGAGCTGAACAACGAGAACACATGGACACAGGGAGGGGAACAACACACACTGGGGCCTCTTGAGGGGGAGCATGGAGAGGGAGAACATCAGGAAAAATAGCTAATGCATGCTGGGCTTAATACCTAGGTGATGGGTTGGTATGTGCAGCAAACCACCACGGCACATGTTTACCTACGTAACAAACCTGCATGTCCTGCACATGTACCCTGGAACTTAAAATAATAAAAATAAAGATGCACACATAAAAAATCAGTAGTCAGCACCCTTTGGCATGAGCAAAGAGAATTTGTGGACTCACAGAAATTACACATTCCCTTAATTACCACATGAGAACTACTACCATCTGATGTCAAATTCCTTTCCATGAGTTCACTAGTAATATATTCTCTACAATGGAATCTTTCTGAAATATATTCCAGTTCAAAAATCTTCATGATACTGGCTGGGCACAGTGGCTAACACCTGTAATCCCAGCACTTTGGGAGGCCAAGACAGGCAGATCACTTGAGGCCAGGAGTTAACCAGCCTGGCTAATGTGGTGAAACCCCATCTCTACCAAAAATACAACAACAACAACAACAACAACAACAAAACCAAAAACAAAAAGAACTTCATGATGCTCTCTGAATGGAATGTAAAATACTTTAGTTTGACATTCAACATTTTGCATTCTTTAGTCTTTATCTTGGTTGCAAGCCTCATCTCTCACTGTTCTCGATACCTTATTCCAAACAAATTGGTCACTTCCTATTATATCCTATGCTTTTCTATCTCTAGACCTTTGCTAATGCTTTTCCCGTCACCTGGAGTGCCCCCTTCCATTTCCACTGGTCTAAATACCATAATCCAACTCAAATGCCCCATGCTTCGTAAGTTTTCCTAGCCTTCTTTACTACATGAGAGCTTTCTCTTTGACACCAGTGTGTTTTCTTTCTACTTCTACATCATTTATAGTCTTTGTTTTATTTCAGTTATTTCAACACTTGACTTATGGGTTCCAAATTATCAGCTTCTTAAGGTTAGAACTTTGCTTTAAACATGAAAAATGCTTGATTAATATAAGTATTTTAAAGCAACACTTCTCTAATCACATTAAGTGTTAAAGATTTAACTTTTTGAAGAATTGTTTTTAATCCTAAAAAGTATTTTTCTTAACTTTGAGTAAAGGCATTGTCACAGTTAACAGTTATTGACAGATAGGCAGTCCACCATTCACATCTAATCTGGTCCCTAAAAAGACTTAATCAGAAGTTAATATCATTGGGAATGTGTTATATATACTACAGATGTTTGTCCCTTCCCAAATCTCATGTTATAATTTAATCCCCAAAGTTGGAAGTGGGACCTAATGGGAGGCATTTGGGTCATGGGGGTGGATCCCTCATGAACAGATTAACGCCCTCCCTAAGAGGTGAAAAGATGAGTGAGTTCTCACTCTATTAGTTCCCTGGAGAGCTGATTGTTAAAAAAGAGCTTGGTAGTACACCCTTCTCTTGCCATGTGACCTCTGTATTCATGGGCTCCTCTTTGCCTTCTGCCAGGAGTGGGGGCAGCCTGAGGCCTTCACCAGATGTCTACTATTCTAGCCAGCAGAATCACACACCAAGTAAACTTTTTCTATATAAACTACCCAGTCTCAGTTATTCCTTTATAGCAACAGAAGACAGACTAAAACAGAATGTGTTCAAATAATAATATACTTGAGGATGTGTAAAGTTTTTTAAATGTTAAAACAAAAATTGTAGACCTAGACTTACCTTTGAAGCACTTCTTTCTGAAACTTTGTGATTCTGTGTTATACAATCGAACAAAGCCTTCTTCATTGGCAACTGCTAGTACATGTTCCATATTGGGAGCTAAAGCAGAAATAAAGAAAAAAATATATAGAGTAACACAATTTTTTTTTTTTTTTTCAGACGGAGTCTTGCTCTGTCACCCAGACTGGAGTGCAATAGTGCAGTTTGGCTCACTGCAACCTCCACCTCCTGGGTTCAAGTGATTCTCCTGCCTCAGCATCCCAAGTAGGTGGGATTACAGGCATGCGCCACCACGCCCAGCTAATTTTGTATTTTTACTAGAGATGGGGTTTCACCATGCTGGTCAGGCTGCTCTCGAACTCCTGACCTCAAGTGATCCACCCACCTCAGCCTCCCAAAGTGCTGGGATTACAGGCGTGAGCCACCATGCCTAGCTACAAAAATTTTTAAGCTTACTCAAAACCACCAAAATTTTCTTCAGATAATCTCTTATTTAGAGAAGGGCTAAATCGAGGGTAGTACTTAAAACAAGAGTGGTACTGGCCAATGGCAAACAAAGGCATATGATGATGTAGGCTGCCAGCAGGCTGAGTCTATTAGTTTTTTTAACCATATTTTTATTTACTTATTTTTACCACAATCATGACTATGTAATAGTCTATTAGTTTTTGAGAGACAGTCTCGCTATGTCACCTAGGCAGGAATGCAGTGGCGTGATCTCAGCTCACTGCAACTTCCGCCTCCCAGGTTCAAGCGATTCTCTTGCATCAGCCTCCCCAGTAGCTGGGACTACAGGCATGCACCACCATGCCCGGCTAATTTTTATAAGGAGTCTATTAGTTTTAAATTTCCTTGTCACAACTTTTTCTTTCCTCTCAAACTATTATGGGTGGAGACAAATACTTCTATTTCTTTTTTTTTTTTTTTTTTGGAGATGAAGTCTCACTGTCACCCAGGCTAGAATGCAATGGCACGATCTTGGCTCACTGCAACCTCTGCCTCTCAGGTTCAAGTGAGTCTCTTGTCTCAGCATCCCAAGTAGCTGGGATTACAGGGGTGCGCCACCACGCCCAGCTGATTTTTTGCAATTTTAGTAGAGATGGGATTTCACCATGTTGGCCAGGCTGCCTTGAACTCCTGACCTCAAGTGATCCACCCGCCTTGGCCTCCCAAAGTTCGGGGATTACAAGTGTGAGCCACTGTGCCCAGACCTACCTTGGCGTCCTAAAGTGCTGGGATTTTAGGTGTGAGCCACTGAGCCTGGCTGAAGTACTTCTATTTCTGTTCATATATTCCCCAATGAGTCACAGAAAGATACATTCAACCAGATCAAAGGGTATGTATCTACTGGATAAAACAGTTTTCATAGTAGCTGAACCTTTGCAACCCCTTCCTTATATTGATTTTTTAAAAATAGTGCTATAATAGTCCTATGCTTTAGAGGAAATATAGTTATGCTAATGATGTATAGAGATTAAGAAAAGTCTATTTTATAAATCAGAAGATAACAGTTTTTACAAAAACTCTAACATCCACCTAATTTACTTTTCTTTGAAAGGGAAATACTCTAGTATATTTTCCCTATAAGTGTGAAATAGATCATTTCTGTCCAAGCCTTGCCTAGATAGTAATTCTCTTACCAGAAGAGAAGGTACATCCAAAAGGAGGAACTGGGACTCCTGTTTCTCCATAAGAAGTGTGTTCATCATTACCACTGCACTGATAACCAGTCAGAAGGGATTGAAGAGGGTATTGTGAAGACCATCCTAAAACAAGATAATTCCTTATAGAATTCCAATACAGCATCACATTTCAGCATTTTTAACAAATTCAGAGGTAAATATTTGTCCTTAAGAAACTTTAGATATTAACATAGATCCACTTACTATTAATATCTATGGAAGACACCATTTCTGTTATTTCATTAAGGAGTCCTAAGGAAAAAATGAAAGAGCACTTCCAACTTCTGGGGAGGTATAGCTTTGGGCTTACTATCTAAAATGGAGACTCTCACTAGTACATTGAGATTAGAAGAAACAAGAGGCCTCTGCATATTAAGAAAGATCTTCCCCCTTCTCCTACCAAAGAGACAACCACAAAAGCATTCCATTAAAACTGCTATCCCCTTCAATTAAATTCTTATTCCAGAACATCATACAAAATCCAATGGTCAAAGAGCCAAAGAAAATAATATGTCAATGCAGCTACTATAGCCAGTAACATATTCACCAAATTTACTTCTGTTTTCCTTTAGTGCTGAAATTGTAGGAATCTAAAATGTCAATAGCAGCAATTATAGTACCTTAAATTATATTAGAGAAATTGTAAAGTGAAGTGTTATGTACCTACCCCTAGAAAACATTTAATTAGCCCTGGCTAGTGGTAGTGGGTCAGGGAGTCTTTACAGGAGGTCTTGAAAGATGGGTAAATTTTCACTGAATTTAGAACAGAGAACAAGAGACTCAGGGTAGAAGAAAAGTTTATTCTGCTTGGGTCAGAGGTCTAATGTGCACTATGCTCCTACATAGTAAAGACATCTTCAGAGATTTGTTTTTATTATACTGATTTGTGATCAAGACATTTTAAATATATAAAATAAACATTCATTCAACAAGTAATTACTGAAAACCAAATGTTCAATAAGCATTGGAGGAAACACTGAGTTTACAATCTATTGAAAGCATCTTAAATAATTAACAAACTCACATTTTAGGGTACTCTGAATCCTCACTTTTCATCAAAAGTACTATGTGGAGAATACATCTTAGCCTGACATAACCTCAGACAAATCTACATTTGGATGTTCATAGACATAATCTGAATGAATCAACAGAAGGGCACCAAAGAAATTTAATCCAAATTTAATTAGTTCTGGGGCCATCACGTCATAATTTCAGCATCACATATCATTGTAAAGGAGCTGTTAAAGACCACTAAAAGAATGCAATAGGCCGGGCGCGGTCTCTCACACCTGTAATCCCAGCACTTCGGGAGGCAGAGGCAGGCGGACCACGAGGTCAGGAGATCGAGACCATCCTGGCTAACACGGTGAAACCCCGTCTCTACTAAAAATACATAAAAAAAAAATTAGCCAGGCGTGGTGGCAGGCGCCTGTAGTCCCAGCTACTCGGAGGCTGAGGCAGGAGAATAGAGTGAACCTGGGAGGCGGAGCGTGCCGCGAGCTGAGACCTCGCCACTGCACTCCAGCCTGGGCAACACAGCGACACTCCGTCCCCACCCCCCACCCCCCCGCCAAAAATGCAATAGTTATGTTGAGGTCACAAGTATTAACCTACGGAATAAGTGTGTAAAAACAAAAGCCTCTGTTCAAAGGTTATGTAAATATACACGTTTTGGAATTAAAAAAAAAAATCAACTGCAAAATAAAAACTCAAAAGGGACTTTTGAACAACTTGGTTGAAATGAAGATGATACACTCCAAAAAACCTACAATTTTTTACAATTAAACAATGACTCTTTAACTCTGCCTCACTGCCTATAATTAACATCCAAACACCAATGAATGGTGAGTGATTGGTCCTTGCCTACCCCTCTACTTATGCAATCCCTGCAATACACACTTCACTGATGAACCACCCTAAGCTACTTTTGGATCCTTATTGTGTTATGAACATGAAACTGTAATGCTTTCCTCCACAACACATTTGGAAAAAGCTATTATTTCCTCATTGTACAACTTAAGCCCCTGGAGTTACATGCACATATTCCAAGTAGTATACAAGAACATGAGAGTTTTCAGAGACTCAATTTCCAGATACAGTAGTTACCCCTCACCCGTGGTTTCGCTTTTTGTGGTTTCAGTTGCCTATAGTCAACAACGGTCTGAAACTATTAAACTGAAAATTCCAGAAATAAACAATTCATGTTTTAAATTGTGTGCCATTTTGAGTGGCAAGAAAATTTCACACTGTCCTACCCTGACCTGTCCAGGATATGAATCATCCCTGTGTCCAGAGTAGCAGTGCCATAGACGTTACCTGCTCTTTAGTCACTTAGCTGCTGTGTCTGTCACATAGTTGGGAGTAGTAGCCTAATGTTATATCACATAGAAGCTGCTTTGTCTGTCACATAGTTGGAAGTAGTAGCCTAATGTTATATCACAGTGCCTGCCTACGTCATTCATCTCACTTCATCTCTTCATGTTGTAGGTATTATATCATCTCACATCATCATGAGAAGGGCAAGTATATAGCACCATGAGATATTCCGAGAGGCCACCTTCACATAACTTTTATTACAGAATATCGTTATAATTGTTCTATGTTATTATTAGTTATTGTTAATCTCTTACTGTGCCTAAACTTAATCATAGGTATGTGTCTGTATAGTAAAAAACACAGCATACATAGGGTTGGGTCTTGGAACATATCCTTCAAGGATAAGGAGGTACTACTGTACTCAACTACGATATACAGTCATATGCCATGTAATGGCATTTTGGCCAAAGACAGACCGCATACACAATGGTAGTCTTACAACATTATAATGGAGCTTAAAAATTCCTATTGTGTCTTAGTTTTTAACAAAAGGTTTGAAAAGTTAAGAAAAGAAAAACATTTAAAATAAAAAAACTTATAGAATAAGAATATGAAGAAATAAAATATTTTGTACAATTATACAATGTGTCTGTGCTTTATGCTACCTGTTACCACAAGGGTCAAAAAGTTAAAAAATTTAAGATGTTTGTAAGTTTAAAAGTTACAGTAAGCTAAGGTTAATTTATTATTGAAGAAAGTATTTTTTAATCAATTTAATGCAGCCTAAGTATAGAGTGTTTATAAAGTCTACAGTAGTATAATGTCCCAGGTCTTCGTGCTGACTGACTACTCACTCACTGATTCACTCACAGCAACCCCCAGTCCTGCAAGCTCCCATTCATAGTAAGCACCCTCCACAGGTGTTACCATTTTTTATCTTTTATATCCTATTTTTACTGAACCTTTTCTATGTTTAAATACACAAATACTTACCATTGTGTTACAGTTGCCTACGGTATTCAATACAGTAATATGCTACACAGGTTTATAGCCTAGGAAAAATATATAGCTTAGGTGTGTAGTAGTTACACTATCTAGCTTTGTGTTTATACTCTGTGATGTTTGCACAATGATAAAATCACCTAATGATGCATTTCTCAAAATGTTATCTCCATTTATAAGCAATTGGATGACTATATACGCATTTCTAAAACTCACCTGTCTGAAAAACCTGATGTCTCTGAGAAGGTTGAGGTACCACTTTTTCCCTTTCCCTTCATCACTTCCTTTCTTCCACTTTATAAAAGAAAGGCATTCCCGTGCCCCAATCTTAAACCTTGCACTGATCCAAAGAATAAAAACTTTTGGGTATCAAATATTTTTAAATAAAAACAAATAAACTGGTGGAACCTTAACTAAGAGATAATTAAATAATTCCTTCAATAAAGGGACCATAAACACCCAAATTCATCTCTTTAAAAAGATGGACTTCCAATAAAATTTTACTTTTGGTTAATAATTATCAAAATTGGTAATCTATATTGTTTTAATCAATCATATAGTACTAATAATTGAATTGAAAATTCAATCCATAAAGAAGTTTTAATACTTGGAGGCTTATGACAGAAAACAGCAATTTAAACACATTTTTTGACACAGAAGGGTATGACAGAGTGATCAGTAAAAGAGCTTTTCAAGCATAAAATTAAATTACATTAGGAGAAATTCTGTAGGAGAAATGAAATGGAAATAAATTCAAGAGGAAAAAGCAGCTATATGGAATGTCCAGCAGATAAAGAGGAGTTTGTATTTTTCTAAAAAATGGATGATGTGATTATCAAATCACTATAGTATTTAAATTATATTAGATACACTTAAAGGAGTGATATAGCATTTTTATTTTTAAAATGTCAATATTCCCAATATGGTCAGAAATTATATTCTTTGCATTTGTTTAAGTTTATAATAAAAACTTTTAGATATCAATTTAAAAATACACAGAAGAGTAATCAGATTTCCATTTTAGAAGGATCATTAGCAGCAATGTGGAGAATAAACCGAAGACAGACAAACTAGGAGGCCATCTGGGAGACTTCTTACAATCCAGACAAGAAGGCATTAGGGCCCAACCTAGGGAAATGGAATAGTAAAAATAGAACACATCCAGCATACAGTAAAGATGCATAATCATAACAGATAAAGAAGAGAGGATGGATTCAAGAGATTTTAACGAAATGTTTTGAATGTGTAACTGTGAGGAAGATGAAGAAGTCTTTAATTTACTCAGGTTTCTGGCAGGTTTAAATAATGAGGCCACTCTCTAAAATTGGTAATATTGCAGGTTTGGGGGAAAAGCTGAGTTCAGTTTTGGGTATTTGAGTTTGAGATGCTTGTGGGATTGACCGTCTAGGTGCTAATCAACCCACACAGCTTTTATAGAAATGAATCTCAGGTACAGGAAGTCTTCCAATAACATAATTTTGTACAATGTCATTTCGTTATACTGTTCATGAGGAAAAAATCAATTCCTGTTTGAGGCCATTGGCCGTGTGGAGTTTGTACATGCTCTTCCCATGTTCATAGGGGTTTTCTCCAGGTACTCTGGTTTCCTCCCACATGCCAAAGATGTGTATGTTAGGTTCACTGGTGTGTCTACATGGTCCCAGTAGACAATGAGTGTGTGTGAGTGCTTCCTGTGATGAAATAGTGTCTGGTCTAGAGCTGGTTTCCACCTTGTACCATGAGCTGCCAGGATAGGCTCCGGGCACCCACAGCCCTGAGCTGGAATAAGTGTGTCAGAAAATGAATGAATACAAATCATTGTAAAATAAAAATGGGTAAACTTTACAATAATCATACAAATGAATGACAATAAACGATTTGGTATGAAAGGGCTCAGTGAGCTGCCATATTTGTGATTGTTTTTGACCTGGGTGGTGGTAGGAGGTGCTCCTTCCAATTTTCACTTTGCAAACATTTATTCCTTGATTTAGCCCACCACCACTATGACCGAGGTCACTCGCTGATACACCAAAACTTGGATAATTATCTCACCTGTTTTTATTAATCTTTCTCAAATATATGTATAGCACACAATTATTTCAACATTTAATATTAAAAGTACTTTGAGTCTTTCTTTAGAAGTTCGGTGGTGTTTGTGTGACCAAAATATGCCACTGAAACAATTCTTATTTATATCAAGTAGCCTATGGTAGAGTTAGTTTAGTTATACACTGTTTTCCCTAAAGTCACAGTTTCCAAGAGCCTATCTAGACATTAAGTGAGGACTTACTATATAAGTAACAGAAGGTTGTATGTATGTAGAAGTGGAAGAAGCCCTGGTTGTGGCTGTGATCATCCAAAGGAGTAGGTAGAAGAAGAAAAGGGGTCAAGGATGGAACACCAACACTGAAGAGGAAAGGAGATGATTCTATAGATTTCATATAATAACGAATGAATTTCAGTGACTATTATGTAACAACGAATGAGTACTTGAGAATAGGAAAGAGGGAAGGGAAAGGTAAACACATGGAGAATTAGGAGAAAATCTGTCACAAAATAGAGGCTGAACAGCTCCCCCAGAACACACATATAGTAAGGTGTGGAAGTATAATAAAACCCAGGCAGTTTAACTTCAAAGACAGAGTTCTTAGCCACTGTGCGTACTGTCACTCTTAAACAGAGGACAAAGAAGTTACTCAAACAAGGTCCCAGGAGAGACAGAAAGAGGAGCATTTAAGTATAATTACAAAGATTATCTAAGAGGGAAATAAATAAGGATGGTATAAAGTTTCAGACTGCTAGCAGGAAGTTGAGGGACTACTTCTCAGTCTCTTTCTCAATATTATTTTCCTAGACTCATCGCTGAATATAAAAATTCCCTTCTCAGGTTCGTTTTCCACATAGTTTCAAGGGGAAAAAGAACCTCTGGCTATAGTCGACCTTCACATGAGTGAGATTTTATTTCTGTCCAAGGTTAATCTGGGTAGTTAGCTCCCTTATCTGAAACTTACCAAAAAGTTTAAGTTGATGACATCCAAATCTAACCTCAAATCTCTTATTGCCAATGTTTTAGCGTAAGAAAATAAGTTAGATTTCTACGTATTAACATGGGAATACGTTCAACTTATACCATTAAAGTGAAAAAACTGGACGTTTTGATCCGATTTCTGAAAATAATAGGTATTACCTCTAGCGTCGAAAACATCTGGAATAATATACTTCAATCTATTAACAGGGGTCATCTCTGGCGGATGTGGTTACAGGCATCTTTCACTCTATAATTTAAATTTTTATGACCGTGTAGTAAACGGGGAAAATAAGATTTTGTTCCTGTTAGAAGCAGATATCCTGTCTTCTCTGCTTGACTGAGTTCCTTAACAGCGGGTCATATTCACTGGTATATACCTATAGCACATAGCTGGGCTCACTAAGATTCTACAACAAACGAATGAATTAATCAATGATTAGGAGTTTTGAGCATCTCAAATAACCGTTGAAGGAAACATATACACACAAATGCATGCATTTTCCCGTTAACGCGCAATGGAGATGTAAGCTGTAAGGGGCCTTGGAAGGCAGTTATTTCGACGTCCCTGCCTACGTTACGATTTTAAAAGCCCGATTACGATTACAAGTGTCCCGAGGGGATGAAAGTACAGCTTTCTTTAGTAGTCCCTGCTAACACTAATTTACCCTTGCCATGGGAGAACTCAGAAGCTGAGTTCAGAATTGGAGTCGGCCCTGGTCGGAGGTGGCGTGTGTTTCGGGGGAAATGAATTCCGCCAGCTCCGAGCAGCGGTTGGGACCGTTACTCACCATTTCTCAGGACGCCAAGCTGGGGCTGGCGGAGCACCGAATTGAAGAGCATCAGGGTCGGAGGAAAAGCCTCAGCTGAGAGAAAAGTCGTAGAAATGCCTCCAAGTTCAGCAGAAATCGCAGCTTGCGCCTCTCACAACACAAATCGTTATCGCCTCCAACTCCCGCCACTGTAAGCCCCGGCCGCCAAACTCCGCGCCAAACTGACGTCACGCTCTCTGATTGGCTTCCGAGCGACGTCCGGGCGCCTCAGAGTCATTTCCCCCTTCGGATCCCCGCCTCCTTTTCTCCCAGCCGCGGGAACCTGGAGTCCAAGAGCTCCTTGAGCGCCTGCGCAGGGGGTAGCAGAGGCGCGGACAAACCGCGGGGTGACCAGGGCGCATGCGTAACAGGGCTTGACAGCGCGCGGAAGAAAAACCAGCAAGAAGGCGGCGGGGGAAGATGGCGGTCCTGGGGTAGAGTTTGCAAGCTTTCTGACTAGGCTAGTCGAGTAACTATTCGGGTCATGGCGTCAAACTCAACTAAGTCTTTCCTGGCAGATGCCGGCTATGGCGAACAGGAACTGGATGCCAACTCTGCCCTTATGGAATTGGACAAAGGTATTCGAAAGAGAGGGCTGAATGGGTGAAACAGGCGTGGGGGGAAGTGGCGCCACCAGGTGGTGGTTGCTTTGGGAGAAGACGGATAGGCGCATGCGCATGTCTTCGCTGGGCGGGGAGCGCCTGTGCTTTTGCTGGGGCGTGGGCTTTGACCCCTTCGGGAGGTTGCGGGAAATTTGCAGGATTGTGTGACTGGCCTTATACCGGCTAAACAAGTAGCGAGCTCTAGTGAGAGGCCCGTTTTGACCACTTGAGGGAGCAGTCCCCCGATTTTCTAAGCAGTGACAGTGGCTAGTTTCTAAGAGACACTGCAAAGAAATTGTGAAATTGGTTTTCAGTCTGTTCAGTTGAGACCAGGTCTTCATGAAATGTGCTGAATAGTAATCTTGCACCGACTTGACAGCGATTCATTTGATTTCCATAGCTCTGTTACCTGCGGGTTACAAGGCAGGCTAAACCTGGCCAAGACCATAAAAAAGCAAGGGCCCTGCTCATTCTCTGCGGACAAGTTCCAGGAGTTCTGTTGCCGTACAGGGAGCAGCTTGGTGTAGAGGGAGCTTTGGGGTTACACTGAGTTAAGTTTCAATGCCGCTGATTTTATGATTAACTTCATCTAGCCTCGGCTTGTCGTCTGCAAAGTGGGTACAGTACCATTGAGCCGGCAGAATTGTATTAAGTGACTTAATGGTATGCAAAAGAAGCATTTAGTAAATGCTGAAGAGATATACCTCCCTTCTTAGATGTGGATATGGGAGGCAAGGTCGGAAATTTGTTAGTAAAGAACTCGACTAGTAATATGAAACCTTTATTTCATATTGAGGATTTTTATTGTACGGGAAACATTTCGGCAGCTGGTATACAATTAAATCTTGATTAATCGTAGCCAATATATAATGTTGGAGAACTGGACTAGAACTCAGAAGGGTTTGAGCCACTTCCCAGTTTTCTGAGTTGGACATGTCTATTAACTTTTTTGGGACTCTTTTTCTGTTTATTTTTTAAACTGTGAATATTTTTAGTGGGTTAGTCTAAATAAGAGTTTCTCAGGCTCTTAAAAAAGCTTTTACCTTATTTTGATAAACACAAAAATTTCACAGCCCCCTAATGGGATATTCCTTTGGTTGAGTCTCAGTATCTTTAGTGCACCCCCATCAACCAAGAAAATTATGTTGAACTTTTCCTTCTCTTACCAAATCTTTAGGGGTTTTCTCCTCTGAAAAAAAAAAGTATAATACTAAATGTGTTTTTCTCTTTTTTTTTGGAGACAGAGTGTTGCTCTGTTGCCCAGGCTAGAGTGCAGTGGCGCCATCTCGGCTCACTGCAACCTCCGCCTCCCGAGTTCAAACGGTTCTCCTGCCTCAGCCTCCCGAGTAGCTGGAATTACAGGCGCCCGCCACCACGCCCGGCTAATTTTTGTATTTTTAGTATAGACGGGGTTTCACCATGTTGGCCAGGCTGGTCTCCAACTCCTGACCTCAGGTGATCCGTCCGCCTCGGCCTTCCAAAGTGCTGGGATTTACAGGCATGAGCCACCGCGCCCGGCCTTAAATGTGTTTTTCAAACACTTTCCTCCTCATTCTGATACATTTCTTTCTTATTCCTCAGTGAAAGTTACAGGTCAGGATAATATCTAATATCCCTACGAGTTCTAAGGACATTTTCTACCATTCTGGTGCAGCTGAGCTTGTCTCATGCTGACAATAGGATAGTGGTTGTGGAACAGGGATAAAGATGGGGCACTGAAGAGGAGTCTAGAATGGTTTAATTCCTCAAATTTTGCAGTTGTAAGAAAAAAACCACAATTTTTCCTTTTTAAAGAAGAGTTGAAATGAAAATATTTTATATCTATAGGAAAGAAATCAGGTGTCAATCTTAGACACAGAGTAAGTGATCATTTGCACTCCTCCCAGCAATGCCTGGCGTGAGTGTTTTACAGGTGAATCTCAGGCTCAGAAAGATGACTTGTTCTTTTTCATCTCATCTGTAGTAACTTTTAAAGCTGTTAGGAAATTAAGTTATAGAAATAGCCAGTTTCGTGTAGAATATAGTTGAGTATTTTAAATATTGAGTCATTTCATCTTGTACCTGTTAAAGTATTTCTGTTTTGTGAGCTAAAGGTCAGAAGGCTACAAGTTCCAACTCTTTTTTTCGTTCCCAAACTCCAAGGAATACTGTTTCTGAAATATCTCCCCCACCTCAGCATACACACTCAGACACATGACTTATTTGATCGGGCTTTGTACTAGGAACATGGCAGTTAATGAGACAAAACTCCTGCCCCTATAGAGCTTACATTCTAGACAGCAGATGCAGACACTCCGCAAATATAGCAAACGTGACAGTTAGTGATACATATTATAAAGGAAAATGAAGCAATGAAAGGGACTGGAGAAAACTGATCTGGGGCTGGAGTTGATTTCTTATTTTATGAAGTATAGGCAAGAAAGACCTCCTCAATCAAGTGGAAGAACAGCAAGTACAAAGGCCCTGAGGTAGAAGCCTCCTTTGCATGCAGTTATCTGGAGCAAAGTAATAGGCAATGAGTATAGAAAGATAACCAGAGTCAGTCGGGCGTGGTGGTTCACGCCTGTAATCCCCGCACTTTGGGAAGCTGAGGCGGGCGGATCACGAAGTCAGGAGATCGAGACCATCCTGGCTAACATGGTGAAACCCTGTCTCTACTAAACAAAATACAAAAAATTAGCCAGGCGTGGTGGTGGGCACCTGTAGTTCCAGCTACTTGGGAGGCTGAGGCAGGAGAATGGCGTGAACCTGGGAGGCGGGGCTTCCAGTGAGCCGAGATCACACCACTGCACTCCAGTCTGGGCAACAGAGCAAGACTGTCTCGAAAAAAAAAAAAGAAAGATAACCAGAGTCCCGTTCAGGTAGGGCCGTGCAAGCCATCAAAAGGACTGGCTTTCATTCTGAGTGAGAAAGGAAACCATGGAGGATTTTCAGCAGGTGTGTGACATGATCTGACTTTCCTTTGAAAAGTATCAGTCTGGCTACTGTGCTGAGAATAGACTGAAGTGGGGAGGGTCAGGGACCCAAGTAGGGAGACCAATGAGAAGGCAACTATAACAATCCAGGGAAAAGAAAATAGTGGCTTAGACCGAGATGGTGACACTGAAAATGTGTGAAGTGCTGAGATTCTGGATATACTTTCAAAGTAGAGCCAAGAAGATTTGCTAATGGATTAGATGAGGATATAAGAGTAAGTGGTCAAGAAAACTTAGAGGTTTTTGGTATGAGCTACTGGGAGGATGTATGTATTGTTTACTGAAATCAAATCAGTTTGGGTCATGTTAAATTTGAGATGTCTCTTAGACATCCAAATGGAGATGATTAGTCAGTTAGGCATAAGATGTAACCTTTGAACGCTATTTTAAAGAAATATTTTGTGGCACTGGTGTCCTTAGAAACACACTCAGGAAATGCTGCCATTCATAACCTGTTATATATTTATAACTGTTGTACTTTATTCTGAGCCTTTTGAGCAAGCATTGGCAGTAAGCTGATTGTTTCTGATCTCTATAGGAATAAGTGAATACTATTTTGAAGCTGACTCAATTCCATTACTTTAGGATGTAGTTAGTAACAGGAAAATCATCCTTCATGTGATAGCCATTCATTTACTCAACAGATATTTACTGACCACCTGCATTGTCTCAGGCTCTATACTCAGACTAGGGGCTATGTTGGCAAACAAGACATCTTTAAGGAGATTGCATACAAATGTAAGGAGATGGACAATGCTAGATCAAATGTGGTGCCGTTAGTCAGGACAAGAAGTTGGATTTTGTGCAGAGTGCAATGGGAAGGCATTGAAAGTTGTAGGCTGATGGCCATGCTGCTTGAGCTTCTGTAAGACTGAGCATACACAAGCAGAGTTAAGTGTCATAATCAAATACATTACAGCTTATGTTTATCTGACACATTTCATGATATGATCATTACTATACATAATTGGCAATATAAAGGATGCATCTCACAAAAATTAGTGTAACTTTTTCACTAATATAATTTCTTAGTCTAAACATTTTTAGATCAGCTGATGGAAGGTTATCCTGATGATTTGGGAAAACTTATGCAAGATCTCCTTCCCCCTGGGAAAAGAGGAGTCTCTTAAATGATATTATTCAGCCTATCTGCCTTCTGCAATGTTGACCTTGGAAAGGATGAGATGAAAGCAATGGGGAAGAGAGCAGTGACTCATTCCCTTTCTTGCAGCTGATGCAATGGGAAGGGAGGAAATATAGAGGATAGATTTGTTACTAGAGGTGCTGGTGAATGTAATGCTGTGTGAAAAACCTTGATGGTGTGCTTAATGAAAAATTTAGTTATGAAATAGAGAAATGATGTGAATCAGGACAACTGTCTCTGCACTCTAATTTCCCCCTTAGACGGTGTCACCTCACCTGTATTCCAAAATACCTGAATTCTCAGACCATCAAGAAAGTTTGTCAAGAAAGACCACAGATTGCTTTTACATTATCGATATGGCTCAGATGTTGTTGGTGTTTCAGTAAACAAATATGAGGCCTTTGGGGAAGTATCTTCATAGGCCCTCCTCAAGAGAAAGGCCTCAGCAGCCAGATTTGTTCCAGGTGACTAATTCCATACCATAACTGATTGATTCAGAAGTAGGCATGTGACCCACACTGAGTCAAATTCTTTCTCCTGAGAATCTCTGCTGCCAGACCACACTTAGTCTGAGAGTGTTGAGAAGCGGACCTATAAAATCATATAGAATTAGGCCGGGCGCAGTGACTCACACCTGTCATCCCAGCACTTTGGGAGGCCGAGGCGGGCGGATCACCTGAGGTCAGGAGTTCGAGACCAGCCTGCCCAAGATGGTGAAATCCCATCTGTACTAAAAATACAAAAATTAGCCGGGGGTGGTAGCAGGCACCTGTAATCCCAGCTGCTCAGGAGGCTGAGACAGGAGAGTCACTTGAACCCAGGAGGCAGAGGTTGCAGTGAGCTGAGATCATGCCATTGCACTCCAGCCTGGGCGACAAGAATGAAACTCCATCTCAAAAAAAAAAAACAAAAAATCATGTAGAATTGAAGCTAAGGTGAGACTCTGGGCAACTTAATGCAACATAAAAACCAGCAGCCTGGTTGGTAATTCCTTGATGGGCTATGAACTAATCCAAAAATTCAAGTTTTTACTGAAACCCACAGACTCATTCTTATATATAACTAAGATTTACTGTCTTGGAATTTGCAAAGTGGGTTATTAAATATTCCTAGAAGTTGGTATCCATAAACTCAAATTTGTTTAGAATTCTAGATTAGTATTCTCATGTGCATACTGGATGATGTTGCATACATCTTGCCATGTACGTTTACAGACATTTTCTGAAATTTGGGGGATGGATGCTGCCTTATTAATGCATCATTAGTTTTCACTGTCATTTTACTTGTTTCTATTTCTGCTTTTTAAATATAAAAATGGGCTTTGCCATCAATTTTTTAAGCTGTGGGTTGTATGTTTGTGTTCATGTTTCTACCCATGTCCCCCCACACACCTTTTATTAATGTATAGATTTTAAGATATGTTCGTGTTATGGTTCAATTTTGAATCATCCTCATCTCTTAGCTAAAGCAAATGTATGTCACAAATTGTCCTAAATTGTGTTTGTTTGGTAATGCTTTATTTGTGGTGTTCTTTGTAGTGGATGTTAGTTATGTTGATGGTTGCTTAATATATTTTGAACACTCTTTTTATGCTTAAGGAATGTCCCATATCATGAACCTTGTCTTACTAAGGTAGAAGCAAAAACTTATTTCCTAGTTTCCCTTGCAAGAGTGCAGGATCTGACTTAGGCTCTGCCAGTCAGACACACCTCCTTCACACTGTCTGATTTAGAAGTTAGAGATGCAAGAAGGAAGAGTTGAAGTGTCCACTCACAGTTCTGCCATGGCAGCAGCAGTATTTCTAGCTTACAGCAGCAACAACAATGGCTACGATATTCCTAGATGACAGCAGAGCTAATTGTTGCATCTGGTGTTTCCTATCAAAGACAGGGTTCTTCCATCCAGTTGGTTGGGTAGTGTGGTATTAGGTGTTCCTAGAAATTTAGCCTTAAAATTGTTTCTTAAGCTTTTAATAAACTCATTTTCTGCCTCATAAGCCAGAGTTAGCTTCTGTTGCTTGCAGCTAAGAACTGCTGATAGATGCTACTTGGAGATTTGTGCTGTTTTGAAAACTTGATTAATGTGTATCCCAAACCCCAAGTTTACCATAATTTATGGTATTCCCCTAATTCCCTAGAATTCATCACCTCAGAATTCCACCATTTAATCACTAATTTAAATGTCTCATTCTTGAATCTTAATCTCTTTCTTTCTAGTTGCTTGCTAGAGATGCATTTTAGCATAGTGGTTAGCACTATAGCCTTTGGAGCTACATTGCCAGAATTTGAATCCCAGCTCTGTCATTTGTCAGCATTGTTGTTTCTTACGCAAATTGCTTAGCTTGTCTGTGCCTGTTTCCTCACCTTTCAAATGGGGAAAATAATGGTACCTAATTTATGTGATTTTTAGTGAGACTTTAATACATGCAAAGTGCTTAAAGTGACTGGCACAGAATAAGCACTTCATGTGTATCATCATTATCATTATGATTAACTGCTATTTTGGCTAGTCTTTATTTTCATTCAGACCTCGGTATTTCACCTCTCTACATTTCTGTACCTGTTTTACTTCTTTGTTCAGCTTAGATTTCATGGTCCTTCATTTTATTAACTGCATTTACTTTCTTACCAGTACTTTAAATTCACATCCAAGGTTCCATTCTACTCATGTATCCCCAAAGGCAGTCAAAAATTGCTGCAGAAAGTCATACAGTGGGGTACATGGCTATCATCATAAATGGGAGCCGAATCTACACTGACCTTCAACATGGACCTGCAGTACTGTAATGTTTCTGCAGTACTACTATGTTTCTTTGGTCAGACACTTCTACCTTCTTCAGTAAGATTTTAGATCTTTTACTTTTCTAAAACCAGAGATCCTGGGGTTTTATGTGAAGTATGATTTGTAAAACTTGACAGTGTGTTCGAAACCTTTAAAAACATTGTGCCAGATAAAAGCATTCTGAGGACCAAATTCAGCAGCCTAGTAGTTTTCTAACTCCAGTATAATCAGTGTGGGCAGGCTAGTTAAATAAGTTATCAAGTGGCAGAAGTTAACTTGAGAATCTAGGTGCTGGCTGGGCGCAGTGGCTCACGCCTGGAATCCTAGTACTTTGGGAGGCTGAGGCGGGAGGATCACCTGAGGTTGGGAGTTTGAGATTGGCCTGGCCAACATGGTGAAATCCTGTCTCTACTAAAAATATAAAACTTAGCCAGGTGTGATGGTGCACGCCTATAATCCCAGCTACTCGGCAGGCTGAGTCACAAGAATCACTTGAACCCGGGGGGCGGAGGTTGCAGTGAGCTGAGATTGCGCCACTGCACTCCAGCCTGGGCGGCAGAGTGAGACTGTCTCAAGAAAAAAAAAAGGAATCTCGATGCCAACCTTTTCAAAGTAGTTAAACAGATGCCTGGGACTCTGCCCCATATATTTAGTAGGTTTGGAGTAAAACCCATAGCATAGATATTTTTCAAAAACTTAGCAGATATTGCTGATGCAGAACCAAGCTGAAAACCACTAGCCTGGCAAAAAGCTCTGCACACTTTAAGTGCGAAATAATGTTAGAATAATGAATGCTTTACTACTGCCAAATGAATTTTGAATGAATAAATGATTTTACAGCCTATTTTAGTTTCCCTGGTCTACATGCATGTTGCAACTGAGTTAAGCACTGTTTAAGTCCAGGCACAGAAAAGGAAGAGAGATCTGTTTTTGTTTTTGTTTTTTTTTGGTGGAAGAATACAAAATAAAATGTAGGTATAGCAATCACATCCCTCCTTCTTAATCTTATCTCTGGGCTTACAGTAGTATTCTTATGATTAGTGGTCTTATGACCAGGGCATTCTTCCTGTAGCAAGCAATACAAATAAAATGTCTAGCCCCTCTTATACTAGAACTGGAACGTGCTGAGCTCCTGTTTTCCAGTGCTTACAAAATTGGCCTAGAGCAAGCAAGATGAGTACCATACTACCCCAACCCAGGGCTGTTGCTAAGTAATAGGCCTTTAAAGCACTTTTTCCTTCTTTTTCACCTTAGCTCCTGTCCTTCGGAGCCAGCCTGAATTCTCACTACCTCTTTCCTAAGGAGGGCTCTTACATCAGAAAATACAGAAGAGGTTTAATATTCTTTAGTTCATTTACCCCGTGGCGTTGTTACAGAGGAATGAGAGTCTATTTTATCTCAGAGAAAAAAGTTTGATGATATTAGATAAATCAAAACATTCTCTCGCTTCATTCAAAATAATCTTTGGTACATTTTAAATCAGCATGTTTAAACAAATCAATATGGTCTTTGGTTCTGTTTTTCAAGGGAAGATAAAACATGATTATATTCTGTCAAGGAGACTACCTGTACATAGGCTGTTTCCTACTATGCCTTTTTCATCTCAGCCAAGGTTAATTCATTACAAACAGAACTTTACCATCCTTTGTATCTAACTCAGCTACTGACAGTGAGAAGAAAATGAAACAATCCAATTACTGTGGATTTTTTCAACCCCTTTGCCAACACATATACGTAAGCACACATCTCTGTTCCTTCTCACCTCCATCCTCAGCTATGTCTTTCCCCTTCTCTGCCCTGTGTGTCCCTTGACCCGTTTTTCATATCAGGCTTTTAGAAAAGTAAGGCTACATGAGCCACACTGCCAGCTACTTAGAATTATCCCTTTTGGCGTTGTGTTTGATAGGAAAAGGATTTCTAGAGCTTCAGAGGCAGTTCTTTGTGTGTGTAAGAGGGTGAAGGGGAGGAGGGAGCAGATGAAGGAGGGATGTGTTCTATCTCAGTTAGAAATGTTAATTAATTTTCCCATAGAAACATTTATTATAAATGGTTATTAGGTTCCAGAGTACTGTGAGTGCCGATAGTGCTATTATTTTCCTATGAGGAAATAATGTTCTAAGTACTGAATAACTAACATGAGTGCATTACGGAACATCACCCATTAGTAAATGATAGAAATTACCTATGCAGTTTTACTTTGTGGTTGTCTTTTGTATGAAACATTGTGGCAACTAGGAAAAGCCTTCAGATTTCCTTTGTCTTTTTGTTTTTTTTGGAGACAGGGTCTCTGTCACCCAGGCTGGAGTGCAGTGGCGTGATATTGGCTCACTGCAACCTCCGCCTCCCGAGTTCAAGCAGTTCTCATGCCTCAGCCTCCCTAGTAGCTGTGATTACAGGTGCCTGCCATCACGCTGGGCTAATTTTTGTATTTAAACGGGGTTTTACCATGTTGCCCAGGCTGGTCTTGAACTCCTGGCCTCAGGTGATCTGCCAGCCTCGGCCTCCCAAAGTGCTGGGATTACAGGCATGAGCCACTGTGCCTGGCCTCCTTTGTTGTTTTTTTTAAGAATAATCAAAGGTTACTGGACAGAGATATTCTAAGATACTTATTCCTGTGAGGACATAATCAGCATTTTGTGACTGGTAAAATACTAAACAGAGACATTTGAAATTGATGCTGTTAAATCCTTACCAAGGTATTCATTCTTAGTGAATTTTTTTTTTTTTTTCCTGGTACAGCTGTGACTCCAGGCAGGATCCAGAGAGGAGTTTTCCAGTCTCTTCTCTGGGTTTTGTAGAGACTTACTTTATCCTTCTATGTTAGCTTCTTAAAGCACCACATCAACCTTAAAAGGGCATAAGAAAGGGCAAATTCTTAATGCATTTTTTAGAAAATTGAATATTAACTCTTTTTTCTTGGTTGGGTTTTTTTTTTAATTTTTTAAATATCAGATTTAGTGAGGTATAATTTGTATCAGATAAAATTCACCAAATGTATGCAGTCATGAAACCATGACCATAGTCAAGACATAGAATATTTCCTTTACCCCAAAAACTTTCCTCATGCCCCTGTGCAGTCAGTTCCCTCTCTCTAGCTCCTGGCTACCACCAATCTGTTTTTTATCCCTATAGTTTTGCCTCTTCCATAATGTCATATAAAATAGAATGATACAGTAAGTTAAGTGTAGTCCTTCAGGTCTGGCTTCTTTCACTCAGCATAATGATTTTGAGATCGTTTTATGTGGTTAAAATAAGGTATGATTTCACAAATCACGCAGTTTATTACCATACAGAAAGAATTTTCCCTGCCTTTTTCACAATGTTTAGAGAGGGAGAATAACAAGAACACATCTCACAGGGAACACGTTTGATAGACAAAGTCCAGAAACCACATGTGAGTGAATACTAGTTTCATTTAGAGTCAAATTAGTAAAGTCTAGTTGCGCATTTAGGATGGAAACAGGCCTCTGTGAATGTAGTCTAATTGAAGTTTGAGGTGTACCTTTCTATGAGATGTTCTCTGGAGAGATGATCAGACCAACAGTGGAGATCCATGATGACAACAAGATTTTCAATGCTAGGAGCCATGTCATCAGGGAGGGAGATTACACTCCATGTTCTTATCACAGCAGAAAATTTCACTCACAATAGCAGACTATGTGTTTGTAATCATTTCAAAGCTGCACAACAGAGATCCACCTTTGTTGTTGTATGCATCAGTAACTGGTTCCTTTTTTATTGCTGAGTAGTAGTTCATTGTATGGATATACCACAATTTGTTTATTCATCCACTAGTTGATTAACATATGTGTTTCCAGTTTGGGGCTATTAATGAATAAAGCTGCTGTGAATATTTGCATACAGATGTTTGTGTGGACATATGTTTTCATTTCATTTGGATAAATAGCTGAAAGTAGTATTGCTATGTATATAGTATGTTTACCTGCATTAAGAAAGACCAAACAAAAAATAAAATGCCTAGGAATACATCTAACCAAGGAGGTGAAAGATCTCTACAACGAGAACTACAAAACACTACCAAAAGGAATCTTAGGTGACACAAATGGAAAAACATTCCATGCTCATGGATTGGAAGAATCAATATCATTAAAATGGCCAAACTGCCCAAAGCAATCTACAGAGTGCTATTACTATCAAACTATCAACATCATTTTTCACAGAATTAGAAAAAAAAAACTCTTCTAAAATTCATATGGAACCAAAAAAGAGCGTAAATAGCCAAACCAATCCTAAGCAAACTAACAAAACTGAAGGCATCACATTACCCAATTTCAAACTATTTTGTAAGGCCACAGTAACCAAAACAGCATGGTACTGGTACACACACAGTCACATAGACAGCAGAATAGAGAACCCAGAGATAAAGCTGCACACCTGCAGCCATCTGATCTTCAACAAAGTCGATAAAAATAAGCAATGGGAAAAGGACTCCCTATGCAATAAATGGTACAGGGATAGCTGGCTAGCCCTATGCAGAAGAATGAAACTGGACCCCTACCTTTCACCATATACAAAAATTAAGGTGGATTAAATATTCAAATGTAAGACCTCAAACTCTAAGAATCCTAGAAGAAAATCAGCATTGGGAAAGAATTTGTGACTAAATCCTCAAAAGCAATTGCAACAAAACCAAAAATGGACAAGTGGGACCTAATTAAGCAGAAGAGCATCTGCACAGCAAAAGAAACTATCAACAGAGTAAACAGCCTACAGAATGGGAGAAAATATTTGCAAACTATGCATGTGACAAAGGTGTAATATCTAGAGTCTATAAGGAACTTAATTCAACAAGCAAAAACCAAATAACCCTATTAAAAAGTGGGCAAAGGACATGAAAAAGCATTCTCAAAAGAAGACATACAAGCAGTCAACAAACATGAAAAAAATGCTCAGCTTCAGTAATCATCAGAGAAATGTAAATTAAAACCATAGTAAGATACCATCTCACACCAGTCAAAATGGCTATTATTGAAAAGTCAAAAAATAACATGCTGTGAGGCTGTGAAGAAAAGGGAATGCTTATATATACACTGTTGGTGGGAATATAAATTAGTTCAGCCAGTGTAGAAAGCAGTTTGGAGATTTCTCAAAGAACTTAGAACTGCCATTCAACCCAGTAATCCCATTACTGGATATATACACAAAGGAAAATAAATCATTCTGCCCAAAAGACACATGTACTCATATGTTTATCCCAGCACTGTTAACAATAGCAAAGATGTGGAATCAACCTAGATGCCTGTCAGTCATGGATTGGATAAAGAAAACATGGTACATATATACCATGGAATACTATGCAGCCATAAAAAAGAATGAAAACATGTCTTTTGCAGCAACATGGATGCAGCTGGAGGCCATTACCCTAAGCAGATTAATGTAGGAACAGAAAACCAAATACTGTAGGTTCTCACTTATAAGTGGGAGCTAAGCATTGGGTACACATGGACATAAAGAGAGGAACAGTAGACACTGGGGACTTTTAAAAGTAGGGAGGAAGGGAGGGAGAGGGGAAGAGTTGAAAAACTGCTTATTGGGTACTATGCTCACTACCTGGGTAATGGGATCATGCGTACCCCAGACTTCAGCATCTCACAGTATACCCATTAGCAAACTTGCACATGTACCCCCTGAATCTAAAATAAAAGAAAAATGAAAAGTAAAGGAAAGAGCCAGAGGGTTGTCAAAAGAGCTGTACAGTTTTACATTCCCACTAACAAGGTATGAGAGTTATAGTTATCCCATATCCTCATTAGCACTTGACATTGTTGGTCTTTTTAAAGTTTTTGCCATTCTAGTGAATGTGTAATGGTATCTTAGTGGAGTTTTAAATTGTCATTTCCCTGATGACACTGTTGAGCATCTGTTCATGTGCTTATATTTGCCATACATATTTCTTCCTCAATGAAATTTCTCTTCAATTCTTGTCCATTTAAAAAGTTGGTTTGTATTATGGAATTACAACAACTGTGGATGAAGTCCTTTATCACATATGTGTTTTGTAAATGTTTTCTTTCAGCATGTGGTTGTCTTTTCGTCTTCTTAACAGTGTCTTTTGAAGAGCAGAAGTTTTAAATTTTGATGGAATTTAACTTAGCACTTTTTTATTTTATGGTTTATGCCTTTTGTTTTATCTAAGAATTCTTTGCCTAACCTAAGCTCATAAAAATTGTCTCTATGTCTTCTTCTACATAGTTTATAATTTTAGCTCTTACACTGAGGTCTGTGGTTCATTTTGAGTTAATTTTTGTGTATGATGCAAGTTAAGGGTGGAGGTTGATTCTTGTTGCTTATGCTTATCTAGTTTTTCCAGAATCACGTTTCAAAGATTATTGTTTCCACATTGAATTATGTTGGTACCTGTGTTAGATCATTGATTTGAGAACTTTCTTCTTTCTTGATATAAACCTTCAATGTTATAAATGTTCCTTGAAGCACTACTCTAGTTGCATCCCATAGATTGTGCTTTTATTTTCATTCAGTTCAAAATATTTTTCTAATTTCTTCTTTCAGCTGTGGGTTATTTATTTATTTGTTATTAAAAAATTTTTTTTGAGATGGGGTCTTGCACTGCTGCCCAGGCTGGAGCACCGTGACACAATCACAGCTCACTGCAGCTTCAACTTCCCAGGCTCAAGTGATTCGTCCACCTCAGCCTCCTCAGTAGCTGGGTCCACAGGCACACACAACCACACTTGGATTTTTTTTTTTTTTTTTTTTTAAGAGATGAGGTCTGACTGTGTTGTTCAGGCTGGTCATGAACTCCTGAGCTCAAGCAGTCCTTCTTTTCCCAGCCTTCCAAAGTGTTGAGATTACAAGCATGAGCCACCTATGGGTTAAACGTGCTTTTTTTTTTCTTATTTCTAATTTAATTCCATGTGGTCAGAAAACATACGTTGTATGATTTCAGTCCTTTTAAATGTGTTGAGATTTATTTTATGGCTTTGAATATTCTTAACTCTTACCTTTAAAAAATTTTTTTTCATTATTATGTATCTAAAAGTAGCGATTTCCAGATTACTATTTCAATATACCATTTTTACTTTTAAAAGGGTAATGAATTATACTTTACCTGCTTCTTAAGAATGATTATTTCTTTACTATCTAGTAAATTATATTTGCTATTTTTGCTTTGTAGCCACAAATATGCAAACTGTTCTTCCCTCTCTGTGCTTTTTTTTTTCCATAGGCCTAAGATCTGGCAAACTTGGTGAACAGTGTGAAGCAGTTGTTCGCTTTCCCAGACTTTTTCAGAAGTATCCATTCCCTATTCTTATCAATTCTGCATTCCTAAAGTTAGCTGATGTTTTCAGAGTTGGGTAAGTCTTTTTAAATTCTCGATGTCCTAAAGTACTTTGTTCATATTTCTTGTTTTATATTGTGGTCTTTTTCTTTTTGCCTTTTAGTACTTCCACCTGGTTAGTTACCATTAGTGGACACACATGACTGTGTGCAGCACATCAGTGTGAGATTTAATGACATTTAAAGCAAAATGAAGAGTATAATTTAGACGATACTTATTTCTTTGGAGAACAGAATAAAATTAAGACAACCTTAATATTTTACTGTGTACTTCAGGAAAATCTGTGTCTTTGTACAGATTGTTTTTGAGAAGTTTCTGATTTAATTTAATAATTTATTTTATAGCATGAGATGCATGTCTGTGAAGTACCTGAAACATGTAAGCACTGAATACATGCCTATTTGCTTTTTCTCCCCCGACCATTCCATCTTCTGCTGCTTTCTGCCATTCTCCATGCACTCGTGCTCATATGCACACAATACCACACTGGAAGGAGAAAAGAAGTTGTGGAATAAGCCCAAGAGAAGAGAAAGACCGTCTGATTTCCTGGCCTTGGTTATAATATAGTTTGAGGAGATTTAGTTCTGCTCTAGGTCTTCTCCTTGTGTCACTGCCATTTTGGTGTCTTGCAGCAAGACTGTAGCATAGCTCACTGCTTATGCTTAATGTCCACCTAAAGTACAAACTTTAACTCTTTTAGTAGTTAAACAAATAATGTTAAGATTGAAAAATATTTGTGTGTTGCTAAAATTTAATATTATTAGTGTTGCTTTGGTTCCTAATTAAATATTACTTTCTAAAGTGACCTAATTTATTTCTGGTTTTTCTAGAAATAATTTCCTGAGGCTATGTGTTCTTAAAGTTACCCAACAAAGTGAGAAACATTTGGAGAAGATTCTAAATGTGGATGAATTTGTGAAGAGAATTTTTTCTGTGATTCATAGTAATGATCCTGTGGCAAGAGCCATCACCCTCCGGTATATACCGTATTATAATAATTCACTATGAGATTATTTGAACTGTAATTATGTACAAAAAAGGCAGTGTATTTACATTTTTCATTTTGAGTATTAGGAGTTGTTTATGTTTTTTTGACTAAGAGTCAAGGCAAAACTGTGATAACTATCCCAGTCTGCAAATGCTTTTTAGTTAACATCTGTGTTAACTGTTTTGGTTATAAATTGTTGCCTAACTTGTGTTTGAAATGCATCTCTATGTAGATAGGTGTTCTGATCAAATAACTTGGTGGATCTCAATATAGCTTAGCCTCAGCACATTTTGAACTTCGTGTTCCTGCCCTTGTACTTAATGTTTTCTGTCAGTTTTCTATATTCTTCCTTGATTATGTGATCATTTTTAATGTGATAAATCATATTTGATTTCATTGGAGAACATCAGATATAACCACTATAGTTTCTTTAGCTTTTTCTTTTCTTTCTTGGCATATTTAAAAAAATTTATTTGTTAGAATTTCATTTTGTAAGCCTTATATCCAGCTTGAACCATATTCTCTTTTTAGCTCTGCCATTTATAGTATCATATCTATAACTTTTTATATCTTTTGAAATTCACTTTCCTAAATTATAGTGTTCATTTCTGACCTAGCCTGCCCAGACAGTCTTCTTTTTAACCAGGAAGTTTGGGATGTCACATCTTCCCTGAGTGTCGTTTTTTCCATATCAGGAATCAGTTCTTCCTTCTTGTTCAGAATTTAGTGCTTTTGTCATTTCTTTGCCTTTTGAGTGATTAAATTGTGAGTAATATGTGATATTTTAAAGTCAGTTCATTGATTTTCATCTTTTGAAAGCTATATTCAATCGAATTAATTAATTAATTAATTTATTTATTGAGATGGAGTCTTGCTCTGTCACCCAGGCTGGAGGGCAGTGGCGTGATCTTGGCTCACTGCAACCTCTGTCTCCTGGGTTCAGGCAATTCTCCTGCCTCAGCCTCCCGAGTAGCTGGGATTGTAGGTGCCCGCCACCACACTCAACTATCTTTTTTTACTTTTAGTAGAGACAGCATTTCACCATGTTGGCCAGGCTGGTCTCGAACTCCTGACCTCAGGTGATCTGCCCGCTTCGGCCTCCCATATTGTTGGGATTACAGGCGTGAGCCACTGCACCTGTCCCAGAATTTAAATTTAAGGTATTTTTACCCTTTACTTCAGCAAATATACCTATAGGAATTTTTTAAATGAATCATTTTTAAAAGTTGGTGAATATATGTATATAGATGATTATAGTATCATTTTTGTAGAATGAAAAATTGGGGAAAAATCGACATGGGAATAGCTATTGGTGAACTACTGTATAACTTTTAAAGAGTAAAGTGAGTTGTGAGTCTATATATACTGACATAGAAAGATATTGTTTTAAAAAGTAGTCAAATAGTATCCATTTTGTTAACTCATTTTGCTAGTTGATATTAATATATATGTTTATATAGGCTCAGAAAAAAATCTAGAGGAATATATACTGTTAACAGTGATTATTTTTGGTAGAGTCTTTGGGTTGTAGATTACAAGAGGCTTTTCCATTTGGCTTTTTTTGGTAATGTTTGAATTGGTTTTCACAAACATGGTTTTTTTTTTTTAATCAAAAGATAATAGAAAAGAATAGAATTTAACTGGTGGAATGAATTTCATAAATAATTTAGAGCTAGCCTGAATATTTTGATAAGAATGTAGATTAATATTTGAATGTTAATCATTTTCCATGCTTGCCCTTCTCTAAGTCATGGCAATTGACTTTTGCCTCAATTCTTTTTTTAAGCACTGTGGTTATCAATAAAGCCAGCGATCTCTAGAAAGCTTCCAAAAAGAAGGATCACTTTAAAGGAAAAAAAAATTAGATTGAAATCAGATTTTTCTACAGTAACACTTGATGCAATAAGTATTAAAGGAAAATTGAGCCAAGAATTTTATATCTAATCCAGTTTTCATTTAAAAGAGTAGTAAAATAAAAAGATTCTCAGGCACACAAGGCCTTAGGAGGTTTGCCATATAGGACCTGTTTTGTAAACATTCTAGAAGGAGGTACTCAAGTAGGAAGAGAAAAATTAAGCCGGAAGCAGTGGGAATAAGTCATTAAATGTGTCAGTATTAGCCTAGTCTAATCTTTTCTGGTATAATAGATTAATAGTCATTTGTTATTTCTTTTGAAAGATGTATAATTCCAAAACCTTCAAATTAAATATAAATTACATATTTAGTCCATTTTAGTTTCTTGCTACTAACAGTATTACTTATTTTTAACAGTACTAGGAACAGTACTACTTTGAGTGTAATTACAGGGAATAATTAGGTGATTACATGTCACATTGGAAGGTTATTTAGGATGTTGACTTTGAAGAAGGTTGTCATTGTAGGAACATTGTAGGTTTTGTTTACTGCAGTGTTTTGCAAATTTCTAAAATGTATGCCTTTCTGCTGAAAGGATTTTTCAAACTACTTTCTGTAGTTTATACCACAAACAATAGATTTTTTTCCTTTCTAAATGTATGATTTTATTATAAAGTAGACTGTGTTTTCCAAGCTTTACCTTCTGCACCGTTGTTGATTCTGGTGTGAGCCCCAGGGGCGTCCTCAACCACTGCTTTCTTGATCTTGAGGACATTTGAAAATCATCATACCAATATTTACTGATGTGGGAAAAAAAGATTGGGAGCTCTTACTTTTTTTTACTTTGTGTATCTGCTTAACAGCAAAAATGTTGTATTCTTAATGCTTTGCTGAAATGGACTTCTTTATGCAACATTGGAAAATTGATATTTTGATGCTTTAATAATTCAGAAGTTTCCTTCCTGGGCTGTTTGGTACCTGGGAGGTACTTCAAGGTGATTGTTAAAAATTTTGCTTTTTAGATAAGCCATTTTAATTTTTCTGACATATTGAAATATGTAAAAGCGTTTAAAATTTGAGTCATGGATTTCTAAAGTTATGCTTTATTAACTGGAGTTACATAGAATTACCTATAAACTTTAGTTTTGATAATCTGACTTTGCCTTGCCTCTTACTTTTCTGACCTTGACTTTATTTTATGCCCGATCTTCTTGGGTTTCTCTGTTTCTGTAGGATGTTGGGAAGTCTGGCATCAATAATTCCTGAGAGGAAGAATGCTCATCATAGTATTCGTCAGAGTTTAGATTCACATGATAATGTAGAAGTTGAAGCTGCTGTTTTTGCTGCTGCAAACTTCTCTGCACAGTCAAAGTAAGCTTACAAAAGTACATCCCTTTTAGTAATTTGGCTTCCCAAGAAAAATTTTTGAAGGAAAAACTGATCAACTTATATAAACACTGAGAGATACAGGAAAGTGTAAATTACAAGGTGTGTTTTCCAAGAAGGTTTACCTTATGTTGGGGAAACAAGACTTAAATTCATAAAATGGAAAATGTAAGTACAAATGTTGGCATTAATTGTGTAAATGAAATGAGTTTCCAGAAGGACAGGATCAGCATAGATTAGTTGGAGAAGGCTTCATTGGGTAGCAGAAGCTTTGTTGACTGAGGAGCTTCTCCCAGACATATAGATCTGTAATACTAAATTGCTTACTTACTGTCTTCTAATGTTAATTTGTTTTGCATTAGAGCTGTCCACAGTTTGGCAAAGACAATAACTTGAATTAAAACCAATTTTAACCTATTCAGAATGTCATGTCCTACACTGTTGTTTTACAGAACAGTATTTTGTTTTGGGCAGGAGGATTAAATGTTGACCATGGTTTTATTACTATGTTTGATTGGCTTCTCTTCTGTAAAAGAAAATACAGTATCTCCCTGACTGACAGGAAAAGTAGCATTGCCTTCTGGGGTGCATTTTGGTAATATGTATGAAAAGCCTTAAACAAGTACATCCCTTTGACCCAGGAAATTCACTTCTAGAATTTATCCTAAGATAACAGCAATATGTACTGATAATTATTTGTATGGATGCTGGTTGTAGTGTTACTTGTAACAACAAAAGAAATGAGAAGCAACCTAAATTTCTTCCATTGAGCTTAGATAAATTATGATCATACAATAGAATACGGTAACAACTTAAAACCAATGTTTTTAGAAACATATTTGGAAGCAGGTTACATAATAGGTTATGTAATATAACAGGTTTGTTTTAAAAAACCCCAATAGCTTATATAATGTAACAGATTTGTTTAAAAAAAATAAAAGCCGTAATATTTGTATTTATGCAATAGAAAAAAAGACTAGAAGGATATATATCAAAATCTTGGTAAGATGGTATATAATTTTTATTTTCTTTTTATAAATTTCTCTATATCTCTATATCTTGGCATGAGCAAGTTCCAGTTTTATAACCAGGTGAATAATAAATTTTTTGAATCCTGAAAAGTTAACTTTTTTTTTTTTTTTTTTTTTTTTTTTTTTTTTAGTATTTATTGATCATTCTTGGGTGTTTCTCGGAGAGAGGGATTTGGCAGGGTCATAGGACAATAGTGGAGGGAAGGTCAGCAGATAAACATGTGAACAAGGGTCTGTGGTTTTCCTAGGCAGAGGACCCTGCGGCCTTCCTCAGTGTTTGTGTCCCTGGGTACTTGAGATTAGGGAGTGGTGATGACTCTTAACGAGTATGCTGCCTTCAAGCATCTGTTTAACAAAACACATCTTGCACCGCCCTTAATCCATTTAACCCTGAGTGGACATAGCACATGTTTCAGAGAGCAGGGGGTTGGGGGTAAGGTTATAGATTAACAGCATCCCAAGGCAGAAGAATTTTTCTTAGTACAGAACAAAATGGAGTCTCCTATGTCTACTTCTTTCTACACAGACACAGTAACAATCTGATCTTTCTTTCTTTTCCCCACATTTCCCCCTTTTCTATTCGACAAAACCCCCATCGTCGTCATGGCCTGTTCTCAATGAGCTGTTGGGTACACCTCCCAGACGGGGTGGCGGCTGGGCAGAGGGGCTCCTCACTTCCCACACTTCCCGGGCAGGGGCTGCCCCCCACCTCCCTCCCGGACGGGGCGGCTGCCCGGGCGGGGGCCGCCCCCCACCTCCCGGATGGGGCGGCTGCCGGGCGGAGGCGCTCCTCACCTCCCAGATGGGGCGGCTGCCAGGCGGAAGGGCTCCTCACTTCTCAGATGGGGTGGCCGGTTAGAGACGCTCCTCACTTCCCAGACGGGGTGGCGGCCGGGCACAGGCTGCACTTTGGGAGGCCAAGGCAGGCGGCTGGGAGGTGGAGGTTATAGCGAGCGGAGATCACACCACTGCACTCCAGCCTGGGCAAGATTGAGCACTGAGTGAGCGAGACTCCGTCTGCAATCCCGGCACCTCGGGAGGCCCAGGCGGGCAGATCACTCGCGGTCAGGAGCTGGAGACCAGCCCGGCCAACACGGCGAAACCCCGTCTCCACCAAAAAATACAAAAACCAGTCAGGCGTGGCGGCGCACCTGCAATCCCAGGCACTTGGCAGGCTGAGGCAGGAGAATCAGGCAGGGAGGTTGCAGTGAGCCGAGATGGCGGCAGCACAGTCCAGCCTCCGCTCGGCATCAGAGGGAGACCGTGGGGAGAGGGGGAGGGGGAGGGGGAGGGAGAGGATAAATTTTTTTAAAATTTAAAAAATAGTATTTGCATACCCTCCTCTTCAGCTTTTTTTTTTTTTTTTTTTTTTTTGAGATGGAGTTTTGCTCTTGTCATCCAGGCTGGAGTACAGTGGCGCAATCTCGGGTCACAGCAACCTCCATCTCCCAGGTTCAAGTGATTCTTCTGCCTCAGCCTCCGAAGTAGCTGGGATTACAGGCGCCTGCCACCATGCCCAGCTAATTTTTGTATTTTTAGTAAAGATGGGGTTTCAGCACGTTGGCCAGGCTCGTCTTGAACTCCTGACCTCAGGTGATCCACCTGCCTTGGCCTCCCAAAGTGCTGGAATTACAGGCGTGAGCCAGTGTGCCCGGCCCCTTCAGCTATTCTTATCAAACCTTCAGAGTTCCAGGAATTCTTACTGAAAAAGTAGATAATAGAAAGCATATAATTTTTAATTTCACAGATCAAAATTAATAGATGCAGCAGTAATTGATGATCAGAAATACCTGAATAAGTACAGTTCCTATTTGTGCCTTTGAAAATAAGCATTTTTTTCCCTCATTGAGAGAGTCGTTGGTATTGAGAGGACTTTTAAAAATTTCAGTCACACGTCTCTTAACTATGAGGTTACATTCTGAGAAATGCATTGTTAGGAAATTTCATCATTGTGCAAACATTGTAGAGGACTTACACAAATCTAGATGGTATAACCTACTATACACCTAGGTTATATGGTATAGCCTGTTGCCCCAGGCTGTAAACCTGTACAGCATGTTTCTGTACTGAATACTGTAGGCAGTTGGAACACAGTGGTAAGTATATGTATATCTAAACATAGAAAAGGCTCAGTAAAAATATGGCATAAAAGATAAAAATGGTATTCCTGTATAGGGCACTTACCATGAATGGAGCTTGCAGGACTGGAATTTGCTCTGGGTGATCAGTGAGTGAGTGATAAATGAATGTGAAAGCCTAGGACATTACTGTATATTACTGTAGACTTCCTAAACACTGTACACTTAGGCTTCACTAAATTTATTTTTGAAGTTTTTCTTCCTTCAACAATAAATTAACCTTACCTTGCTATAACTTTTTAACTTTGTAAAGTCTTAATTTCTTTTAACTTTTTGACTCTTTTGTAATAACACTTAGCTTAAAATACAAACATACAGCTGTATAAACATACTTTCTTTATATCCTTATTCTATAAGCTTTTTTTGTTAAAATTAAGACATAGCTGGGCACAGTGTCTCACACCTGTAATTCCAGCTATTTGGGAGGCTGAGGCCGGGGTATCACTTGAGCTCAGGAGTTCAAGACCAGCCTAGGCAACATAGTGAGACCCCTCAAAGAAAAGACACAGAGACACATACATTAACCTAGACCTACACAGGGTCAGACATCAAGACATCTCTGGCCAATATGAATTTTTCAGCTCTGTTATAATCTCTTGAGGCCACTGTCAGTATGTAGTGTGTTGTTGACCAAAACGTTGTTATGCTGCACATGACTGTACTTTTATTGATTAGGAGTTGTGCCTAGGGAATAATTACCATCTGATTACCACTGCCAAGGTGTCAGTGCTTCATAGTCTGTCAGATTAAATATATACTTCCAGTGCTTCCAAAAATAGTTTTCTAAATTTAGTTTCTAAATTTAGTTTCTAAATTTGGATGATAAATTTGTAGTTTAGTGATTAAATTTTATATATGAGAATCACTTTTAGTTCAGTTTTTCTCTTGTGTTCTTATTAGAAGCTAATTTTATTTCACTCTGCAAAATTACTGGTTTTGGAAAATGATTAAGACCAAGTAAGAGAAACAGCAAGATTCTTCACTTGTGGAAATGATGATTAAACATCTAAATTAGCAGTTTATGTAGAAACAGTTTTTAATATACCATGCTTCAATATGATGTACTTCTAATTTATTAAAAAATACCAAATGAATCTCTGTCACCTAGGCTGGAATGCAGTGGCGCAATCATGGCTCACTGCAGCCTCGAACTTCTGGACTCAAGTGATCCTCTCACCTCAGCAATCCCAAATTGCTGGGATTACAGGTGTGAGCTACTGTGGCCAGCTGACAAGACTTATATTTTTGATATCAGTGTTCATATCTTCTCCCGGAAATAATGACCTGGCTTGAGATCACATATCTTCGTCAGTACTGATGGATTTTTTTTCTAGTATCTGTATTGATCAGTTTTGGATATTAAATCAGAGTAACAAGCCAAGCCAAATAAGACCTTTAGAATTTATTTAATCCTGTTCTCCGCCCCCTCCCCCCCCAATCTCCTACCATAACCACATTTGTTTTATTCTAAATTGCTAGTCCCTGGGTGGCAAAGCAGGAGTTACAAACTCACACGCTTTCAGGGGCCAGGTGAACATTGTCAGTGAGAGCAGTGTCCCCTAGTGGCAACTGTGGTGAACTGAAGCACGTCCACTCCATCTAAAGTGCCCCATGGCACCAGCCTATTGTTAACAGTGCAGGAATGGATGCCCAGTGCTCAGGTTTTTGGCAAAGGAGAGGGGATAATCTGAAAAACCAAATTATTCTATTTGGGCTCACTATATTTAAATGTTGACATTAAGAATTTTTAAAATGTTATTTTAAAAAGAATTTTAAAAATATTATTACACACAAAAAACCTGCAGTCTCCTAGTTTGAAGTTTCTTAGCCCTAAAGGTCTGTAACAGATTTTTAAATTCTAAGTTGTTATGAGAAGTCTTTATATGGTTATTAAAGAAATACTTACTGAATATCCACCATGTTCAGACACTTTTCTAAGTTCCAGAAATATAGGAGTGAAAAAGGTCAGGCCCTGTTGTTATATAAACACAAAATAATTTCAGATGCTTGTTAGTGTTATGAAAAAATAACACTGTATTGTGGTAATGGCCTAAGTGAGCTGCTTTAGAGCAGTGTTGGCATAGCCCATTTGGTGCTGGAGTTTTTGTTTTAGTTGTGTTTCTTACCACCTCCCCTAACCCGAGCACCTGACCTTGGAATATTAGTTGCAGTTTGGAATATTGTATTTCTTCTGCGCTAATTGTGTTTTATTTCTTTTAAGTCCTTAGAAAATATAAGCAAATGTAAGTTTTTTCTGTTCTCTGTTCTCTTTTTCCAAAGGGATTTTGCTGTAGGAATCTGTAACAAAATCAGTGAAATGATTCAAGGTATGTATTCTTCATTTAGTATTATGAAGTGACTTAATTAGATTTATAATAGTTGCTAACACTAATTAAGTACTTATTATTTGCTAGTCACCATACATTCAAATAATATTTATTAAGTATCTTCTATTTGCCCAAACTGTTCTAAATGCTGAGGATACAGGAATGAGCAAAACAAAGTCCTTACCCCCATCTAACCTACACTCTAGTCAGGGGTGGGGTGTGTGGGGATAGACAAATGTGCCTATGACATTTCTGGTGCTATGGTGAAAAAGTGAGAGAAGAAGGATAGAGAGTCTCAAAAGTAAGTCGTTGGTGGGTTGAGAGAAGGGACTTATCTATTTTATATATATTGATCAGAGAAGGGACTTTTTTGTATATATTGATCAGAGACAGTCTCTGATGAGGTGATACTTGAGTGAGACATGAAGGAGAGAAAGGAGTGAGCCATGCAGATATAGTCTTGCATTGCTTAACAATGGGGATCCTGTGTGAGAAATGGGTCCTTAGGCAGTTTTGTTGTTTGAACTTCATAGAGTGTACTTAAATAAACCTAAATGGTATAGCCAACTGTACACTTAGGCTGTATGGTATAGCCTATTGTTCCTAGGCTCTAAGCCTATACAACATGTAACTGTGCTGAATACCCATAGGCAATTGTAACAAAATGATTTGTATATCTGAGGTAGAAAAGGTAATATATTGCACTGTGGTGTTACAATGACTACAGGGTCTATGAAGTTACTAGGAATTTTTCAGCTCCATTATAATCGTATGGGACCACCGTCTGTCATGTGGTCCATCATTCACCAAAGCATACTTATGGGGGGCATGATTAGTGTAGGGAAGACTGCTCTGTGTGAGAGAGGCTAATATTATTAGGAGCTCTGGAACTCTCTGCTAATGTCCCTCCAGTGTCTTCCAGTTGCATTTAGAATCAAATCCAGATTCCTTACCATAGACTACAAAGCCCTGGTTTTCCAGTCTCTTATACCATAAGTCATGTGTATTAACCCTATTTATCCTTACAACAGTCATTATGGGAGCCCAAGAGCTCCCATAGGGTTAATACACGTGTCATACCCCTATTTATCCTAGCAGTCATAAAAGGGAGCTCTTGGGCTACAGCATTGCCTGACTCTAGAGAACACCACTTTGTTTATATTCTTATAAAGAGCATTCCTTTGAATTGTGCAATGTGGCAGCCTTGGATAGGTAATACCATTATGTTCGTTTTACAGGAAAGGAAATAGAGCCACACTAAAGCTGAATGATTGGTTCACAGTAAAAAAGCTGATAACTTACAGTTTGGCTTTGAGGCCGATGCTTTTAACCACTTATGCTACTGTGCCCTTCTAAGGCATGAATTGCTTAGTGTAGTTATATTTTGCACGCATTTAAATTGTCCTTCAAATTAAAATTAAAGAGAACTTGCTCACTTGCATAAATAATAAAAATCACTTAAAGACCAAGATACAGTGAATGAGCTTTGTTGTGTTCCCCTTTATTCCTTTGTGTTTTTTCTTCCACCATTAGCAAAAGGGCTTTCCTGCAGAAAAGTATCCTTATGACATTAGAAGGAAGCATCACTTATTCATTGAGCAGATTTTATCAGTGCCTGCTGCATCAGACAAGATCTCAGCAGGAAACAGGTGGCACATTTGAATTAAGATAACTCAAGGAAGGTGTAATAAAGGAACCATTCACAAAGGCATGGTCAGGGTGTACTATAGGGGATAATGTAGTTCTTGAACCCGTAATAGCTTTTACCATACCTCTAAGGGTACAGGTTAAAGAGAGGTTACTAGAAAATTGGTATCATGTCAGGAGGACCACTTTGAGAAGCTAACCTCCAGGAGCATGATGTGACCCTGCAGTGAGAGAACCAGGGAATAAATACTCTGACCTCATTCTTCTCTGCAACTCCTGCTGGGCTCTCCATTGGTTAAACCCAAACAAAGGGTAGATAGCAAGGGAGTTGATGAAAGCTATACAGGTGAGCCTTCTAGGATGCTGGAGTATTCTGTGTATCTGATGACAGTTATATGAGAATATACATATGTAGAAATACATTAATCTGTACACTTAAGATTCATTACCTTATTGTTCCTTAAATTTTATCTTAAAAAAATCTGAAAGAACAGGAATTAGCAGGAGAGAGAGGCAGAGGAAAACATAGGAGTGTGGGTGGAGGAAAATTGGAACCTAAGATATGGAAATGAAAGAGGAGTTTTAGGAACAGAATCCTGACATTTGGTTTTAAGCCACTTTTGTTTCTGCCAAGTAAAATCTCCGAGCCTCCCTAAATCTTTAGTAAAGATGCCTGTAAACACAAAGATCCCTCTGAGTACTGGGTTGAGAATAAACTTGCAGTGGAGGAAAGAGGGGGATATAAGAGTGGAGTCTGCCATGGGGAAAGGCCTAAGCAGGGAGAATACTTAGGAGACTTGCAATAATTTAGTCAAGAGATGGTAGTGGAAATGGATCGGCATGGTAACAACGGAGGTAGAAAGAGTCAGTTTGGGTTTTATTTTGAAGTTAGAACCAATAAGATTTGCTAATACATTTGGAAATGGGATGTGATAGAATCCTTTCACTAATAAGAAAGACTCCAGGGTCTAAGAAGCTATAATGATGTGATTTACTGAGACAGGAATATTTTTGGAGGGGCAGTTTCAAGGTTAAGATCAGTTCTCTTTGAGCCTTATTAATACAAAATGCTTCTGAGACCTCCTAGTGCAGATGACCAGAAGATAATGAGATACATGCGTCTGACGTCGGGGCAGGAGGACGGATGGGTGGCAGCCTTTCACATTTAGCCGATAATGGAAACCATGGGATTATATCAGCTCACTCAGGGAAAACACATAGAATGAGAAGAGAATTTATTACCAACCTATGGGAATATCAGAAATTAAAGCGTAGACAGACAAGGAGACTACAAAGGAGATTAAGAAGGAACAGCCAGAGAAAGAGGTCAGAAAACAGTAAAAGTGGAAGAGCCAAAGCCATTAGGAGTGAGTTTCAAAGATAGAATGGTCAGCAGTGTCAAGTGCATTCAGAACCTTAAGGAACAAAGTAATAACATGAGCATGATGTGACCCTGCAGAGAGGAAAGCAGGGAATACTCTGATCTCATTCTTTTCCCTCTGGCAAACCCAAGTAGAGGCCATCTAGCAAGGGAGTTTATTGACGTAGGCAACTGTTGGACGTTGAAATGCTGTCTTACGTTCATACCCACAATTATTTCACCATGGAAAAGCCAGCAATACGCAGAGTATAATTAGCTTGTGGCATGTATGTGGTACATTACGACTGAGAAATTTGTGTTCACCATGACCACAAAGCCATGCCATAGAGAAAAGATTTGTTGGTTTCGCTCCACTGTTGACAGGAAAACGTGGATTAGGGTTAGTCTTCATGGATCCAGTCGTGTATGCAATAAAGAAAGGCATTTACTACACAAAGTTCAGAGGACTTCGAAACCATTCTACACACAGTTTATTCACATCCTGATTATGATTTAGTTGTTGAAGGAAATAATTAAAATCATAAGTATAATCAGACTGTAGCCATCAAGTGTGTGTGTTTGTGTATATATATGTATATGTGTATGTATAATTTTTTTACTATGACAATGAGAGGAAATAGGCAGCAAATATGACTTTGCTTTCTACTGTGCTTTTTAAAGGCAGTTTTTATTATCAGCATGTAGTTTTATAATCATTGAAAAGTTAATGTCAAGATAAATACTTAGGAAAAAATATTGAATTTATCAATTGGTTCTAGTATAATCTTTAATGTTATAAATATATTAGTATACTGTGTTTTTCAAGTGCAATTTTGCTAAATGAGTCACAGCTTTTAAATCTGGAATATTATTAAGGATGGTGATCACAAATACCTTGAGAATTATTTTTGTGTCTAGGTTTAGCGACACCAGTAGACTTGAAGCTAAAATTGATACCCATTCTACAGCACATGCACCATGATGCAATCTTGGCTTCCAGTGCTCGTCAGCTTTTACAACAGCTGGTCACATCCTATCCGTCCACCAAAATGGTGATTGTGTCTTTGCACACTTTCACTCTGCTTGCAGCGTCATCTTTGGTTGATACACCTAAGCAGGTAATTTCAATTTTCTTTAAACTGCCTATCTTTGGTAAACTTACATATTAAATATATGATTAGAAATAAGAAAGTGGCCCACAAGTCTTGAGGACATTAAGGTTCTTTTCTCTAATAAAGGTCAGATTAATTTGCTTTTGCTTGCTTTTTTATTCTCTCTGTTCACAGTACTGATTGTTGGGAGCCCTTGAGGAAAATGAGATGTTATGGAGTACATGGCTGGGTGTGAAGTTGGCCGTATAAAAAAAAAAAAAGAAAGGATTGAGTATCTGTAAAATGCCAGGGCCTGTGCTAAAACTTTAAAGTTAAATGGTAGTATTTTACAAACATGGAGAAAGAGGCCCAAATGTGGGCACATAGCTAGTGAGTGACAGGGCTCTGATTTGAAGTGAGTCCTGTCCCTTTATAAGTTTCACTAAACTACACTGCATTTCTAATGATCATTTCAGTTACAGTATTGTTTATGGAGTGACTTATTTCCTTTATAGATTCAGCTTCTGTTGCAGTATTTGAAGAATGATCCCAGGAAGGCAGTAAAGAGACTTGCTATTCAAGATCTGAAATTACTTGCTAATAAAACACCACATACTTGGAGTAGGGAGAATATTCAGGTATGTAGAACTTGTAACATTTTATATAGAAAAAATAATATAACATTATAATATAGTAAAATGTTTTGCATTTTTATATTGTCTTTGTCATCTTCTAAGTGGTTGAATATGAAAAACTTCTAAAAGCATTGTTGATGTTTGTGGCAGTTATTTTATAAGTGGCACAATAAATACATAAAACTTCTATACTTCAATGTTTGTTTTAGTCAGTGAAACTTGCCACTCAGTTGCTTGTTCATTCTCCCATAGTGGCACTAAGGCTAATTGAGAAGCCCAATTACATTGGTTTGGTTTTTTTATTCTTGTATTTTTCAGTCAATTTGGGGAGAAAAATTTAGGGGCTGAATGTTATCTGTAATGGAGGTAGGGCTGGATGGGCAACTTGGGAAATATATTTCTCTCTTCCTGGAGAGCTGAAGACATTCCTAAGTCTTCTTTTGTAAACAGAAGAGCAGATCTCACTCTTTAGACTTTTAATGTGCATCTTTGACACCATCTCTTACCATCTGTTAGGTTAAATTAATATTTTATGTTTATTTTTTTCTCAAAATAGAACCCTGTTTGTTTACCCATTACCGATAGAAATAACACCATTTTGCAAATAATGCTATTTAAAATGGAACGGTAGTTTTTATCTCTCAGCTTCATCATGACTCCAGTGGATTAAAAATCTTTGAATTTCAGATTATTAAAACTAAACTGCTGTGTTTGTTTTTCTGTTTGTTTGTTTGTTGTTTTCTAAACATCTTTTAATTTACTATATTATGATTTGATAGTCACAGATATCCCAAGATAAGGGCAGTTGTTAAATCTGCATTTAATAGATAAGCAGTTAGGGTTCAGAGAGACTTAATATGCTTAAGAGAGCATCTTAAGAGAAGTAAATTAAGAATTTAATTAAGAGAGCTTCTGTCCTCTGATCCCTAGTCTTATTGCTTTTTCTACTAAATAATGCTATCTTTCCAAGAAGAGAATGTGCCCAGCCACTTTAGTCATTTTAGAGAATTTGTACAAAGAACCAAACCCAGTTATTTAGAAAGATGAGTGAGAAGCACAGTATTATTCCTTCTCATTTTTTTCTTATTGTGAGATAGATCATACATACAGAAAAGTATGTAAAATATATAAATAGTTTAAATACCTTTAAGTGAGAAAAGTATGTAAAATGTATAAATATTTTAAATACTTTTAAGTGAAAACCCATGCAACTACCATCCAGCTAGAAATAGAACATTACAGGATCACAGAACCCTGCCTCCTTCCCTTGCGTGGTCCTTCCTGGTTGAAACTTTACACCTTCCAAAAGCAAACCACCATTTTGACTTTCATGATAATAATTTCTTTGCTCTTCTTTTACCTTCTTCACATGTCTTCCTAAAGAATACTGTTTAGCTTTGTTTTTGTTTCTTTTGCTCAGCATTACACTGGTGAGACTCATCCATGTCTTTCCCCTTTAATTGTAATGTACTATCCCATTGTATGAATGTATCACAGTTTATTTGCTCTCGATGGGTTATTTCCGCATGGGCCTATTGCAAACAGTGCAGAACATTCTTCTGTTTGTCTCCCAGTTCACACACGCAAATTTCTTTAGAGTGTATACCTGGGAATGAAATTTCTGACTTACAGAAAATGCGTATCTTCAGTTTTAACAGATGATGTCAAACTGTTTTCCAAAGTCAATGAACCAGTTTACATTCCTGCTGTGTATGAGGGCGTCCATTAATCACATCCGTACCAACACATAGAATTATCAGACTTACGTTTTTTACCAGTTTAGAAGTTGTACTTTTTATGTGTAGCTCCTTGATTATTAAAGAAATTGAACACCTTTTTAATATGTTTATTGACCATTTGGATTTTCTCTTATGACATGGCTATTCAGGTCTCTTGCCTATTTTTCTGTTGATTCATAGTTATTTTTTATATATTTGGAATACTCATACTTTGTTAGTCCTTGACAATTCTATATAAATTTCAGAATCAGCTTGTCAAATTTAACAGTTTGATTGGGATTACACTGAATATAAAGATTAGTTTGTAAGAAATTGGTAACTTTATAATATTGTCTTCCAGTGCATGAACATGTTATATCTTTCCACTTATTTTAGGTCCCTTAAATGTGTCTCTTGCCCTAGTCTATTTCGTCTGATATTAATATCACTACTTTAGTTTTCTTTTACATATGTTGACATGATAGGTTGTTTACCATCTTTTTAGTTTCAATCTTTATATATCTTTATGTTTCACATGTTTCTTATAAACAGCATTTAATTGGAGGTTTTTTGGGTTTTTTTGAGACAGAATTTTGCTCTGTCACCCAGGCTGGAGTGCAGTGGTGCAGTCTTGGCTTACTGCAACCTCTGCCTCCAGGGTTCAAGCCATCCTCCCACCTCAACTTCCCAAGCAGCTGGGACTACAGGCATGTGCCACCACACCCAGCTAATTTTTGTATTTTTAGTAGAGAATCGTCATCATGTTGCCCAGGCTGGTCCTGAACTCTTGACCTCAAGCAATCCACCTGCCTCAGCCTCCGAAAGTGCTGAGATTACAGGTGTGAGCCACCGTGCCTGGACTAATTGGATTATTTTTAATCCAGCCTGGCAGTCTTTGTCATTTTCAGATGGAGCATTTGATTCTTCTGATTTACTATGATTTGTCACACATTTGAGTTTAAATCTACCATTTTATTTTGTGTTTTCTCTCTGTCTCCCCTGTTCCTTTTCACTCTTTGGAGGAGAGGGGGGTTTCTTCCTGTATTGATTATTTTTGATATCTTACCATTCCATTTGACTTGACTAGTCTGGAAGTATACAGTCTTGTTAAATATTCTTTTAGTTGTTATCCTAGAAATGAAAATATAACTCATAGTCATTTTTATCAGTCTAAAGTTAATTCTGCTAAAAGTCCTTTGAACACATTTGAATGCCATTTTCATCACTCTACACTTTTATGTATTATTGTCTTGTATAATTAAGATACAAGTTAAATAAAATATAATTAAACTTTTTTCTGATACAATTTTGTTATTGTTTAGGGAATTCATTGTTCATTTGCACCTTCCACTGTCTTTGCTCTTCTTGCATCTCAGCTATTTCCTAGTTACTTTTCCTTCTGCCTTCGGAAGGTCCTTGAGTGAGAGTCTGTGGTGGTAAACCCTCTCAATATTTGCTTGCCTGAAAATGCTTTCATTTTGTCCTCAATCTTGAAAGATGCTTTCTTGGGATAGAATTCCCAGGGCATTGAGGATACCATTCTGCTGTCTACTGGTTTTCTTTATTGCCACTGAAAAATAGTAATACTCTTTGAAGGGTTTTTTTTTTTTTTTTTTTTGCTTTAAAATTGTTCTCTTTGACTTGATTTTCTGTAGTTTCACTATGAAATGTCTAGTTGCGAATTTCTTTTTAAACTGTCTAGACTATGTTTGATTTCTTGAATCAGAAGATTGGTGTCTTTCAGCAATTCTGGGAAATTGTTACTTGTAATTTCTTCAGATATTGCCGCTGTCTCTTTTTCTCACCTTTTCTTCTGGACCTCCTATTAAATGTATGATAACCCTTCTCCCGTTAATCCCTCATGTTCCTTATCTTGTTTTCTATTTTCTATCTCTTTGTGCTAAGTTCTCAGTAATTTCTTCTTATATATGTTTTAGTTCAATAATTATTTTTTCAGTTTATCTAAAGTCTGCAGATTTGTCTCTACTCTCTATTTCTATACCCTTTTTCCTTGTATACCTGATTGTTTTTCACTTTGAACTAGTCATTATTCTTGGAGAAGTATGTGTGGGAATTCTTTGAGGCTCAAACCAAAAAGTACATTCCTGTAGGGATTTGCATTTGCTTCCGCTAGGCAGAGACGTCAGACAGTGATAAATGCTGCCAAGAAAACTTAAGTCAGGAAGAAGATTAGTGAATATGGAAGGTGGAGGTTGCAGTTTTAAGTAGGCTGGTTAGGGAAACCCTCACTGCGAAGTTGACATTTGTGCAAAGACCTAAAGAAGGGAATGTCAATTTTGTGGGCCCCTAAAGGAAGGGTATTATCAGGAGGAGAAAAGCCAAAAGGCCCTGAAGTGAGAACATTCATGAGTGTGAGGTCAGTGTGACTGTTAATAGAGGAGATTAGTAGGAGGTGATGTTAGGTGATGGTAGGGAAGAATAGGCATTTAGGGCCTTTGAGTCCTTCTTAAGGACTTTAGCTTTTTACTCTACATGAGATAGATTGCCTCTGGAAGATTCTGAGCAGAGGACATTATCTGACTTAAGTTCTAAAAGATTATCTCTGGCTTAGCTATATTGAGACTAGGTTGTAGGGGCCCAAAGGCAGAAGCCGGGAGAACATTTAAGAGGCAGTTACAAATAATCGAATTAGAAAATATGTGGTTACCTGAACCAAGGTAGTTGGGGTGGTAGTGAGAAGTGGTAATAGTTTGGATATATTTTAAAGGCTAGAGCTGATGGATTTCCTGGTATAGTGTAGAGAAAGAAAGGTGGCTCTAAGCTTTTTACCATCAACAAATGCAATTGTGATTTACTTGGAATGGGCAAGACTCTGGGAGACTCATTTCTTGAAGATCAAGAGTTTACTTCTGAGTATATAAACTGTAAAATGTTAGACATCCAGGTGGAGATGTCAAGGACATATGCCTGGAGTTTAGTGGACAGATCCAGCTGAGGTTATAAATATGAGAGTTGTCAGTTTATAGATGGTATTTGAAGCCATGAGACTGGATGACTCAACTAGGGAGACAATATGGCTAGAGAAGATTTAGGGAATGATGAACTGAGAAACAACCAGCAAAGGGGCCTGAAAAGGAGTGGCCAGTGATATGTAAGTCAGAATAGTATTTTATAGGGAGAAGACCTTGATCTACCATGAGAGCTACTGCAGCCATATTCGCCAAGATAAGGACTGATAGTTCACCTTTGCGTTTGGCAATATGAAGTCATTGATAACCTTAAGAGAGCAATTTTGCTGCAACATTGTGGGTAAAAGACTGAGTAGAGTGGATTCTGCAGGAAAACAGGAGGGAGATTTAAGGCAGTGAATGTACATTGGTCTCTCAGTATCCGCTGGAGATTGGTTCCAGGACCAACCCTTCTCTAGATTACTTATAATACCTAATACAATGTAATCTTAAGTAAATAGTTGTATTATGTTGTTTTTTTATTTGTATTATTCTTTTTTATTATTATTTCAAATACTTTCGATCTGGATTTGGTTGAATCAGTGGATGCGGAACCCATGAATATTGAGTGCCTACTGTAGAAAACGTTTTAAGAGGAATTCTGGGCCGGGCGTGGTGGCTCATGCCTGTAATCCCAGCACTTTGGGAAGCCGAGGTGGGTAGAGTTCAAGACCAGGCTGACAAACATGGAGAAACCTTGTCTCCACTAAAAATACAAAATTAGCCGGGCGTGATGGCGCATGCCTGTAATCCCAGCTACTTTGGGAGGCTGAGGCAGGAGAATCGCTTGAATCCGGGAAGCAGAGGTTGCGGTGAGCCTAGATCGCGCCATTGCACTCCAGCCTGGCAAAAAGAGCAAAACTCTGTCTCAAAAAAAAAAAAAAAAAAAAGGAATTCTGCCCTCAAGGGAGCAGAGAAATGATATGGTATTGCTAAAGGGTATGCTGTTTGTTTGTTTTTATCCTCGGAGGAGTAAACTTGTTTTTTATTGATGGAAATGACCTGGTAGAGGGGAAGAATTGCAACAGCAATGGCCTTGAGTGGGTGAGACTGGAAGGGATCCAGTGTAGAAGTAGATAGGCTTTCTCTAGTTCACATAGAATAGGAAGGAAGACCTTAAGAAGCCTAATGTAGGTGAATGAGTAGGTATTATGGTAAAAAGTTATAGAAAGTCTCTTGTGATGGATTTTTTTTGGGTTTTGTTTTGTTAGGTAATTAGGAAACATGGTCATTAGGTATGGTTAAAAATGGAGGAGGCAAAGAGAAAGGTTTTAAAGAAACACAGAAATTCAAATAAACTAGGGAAATAGAGGATTGCCATGTAAGATATTTGAGTAAAGCAATATATAATGTGGTGTCTGGCACATACAAATAAATGCTTTTTTAAGGGTAGCTGTAAGTTATATTAAAGGTAAGTTTATTCTTTAGTTTTTCCTTTTTGAATACTTTGACAGATTGTAGGGTTGGGGTTGTGCTGTCTTAAAATGAACTGGGAAGTTTCTCTTTCTATACTCTGGAGTGGTTAAGAAGTATAACAGAATTTTCTGTTTCTGAAGATACAACTTTAAAAGTACCACAAATTTATCTGAATGTAGAACTTTTTCCAGCGATAGTTGTTTTGAGAACATTTCCAATCACTACATGTTATTGTCCTGTCAGTTTTTTACCTCTTCTGGAATCAGTTTTGGTCATTTGTTTCCCATTTAATTTACTTCTCAAATTCATTAGTATCAGCATAAAGAGTCTTTATAACTTCTAATAGCTTTGATTTAAAAATTTTTTTTATCTTGTACATTTGTGTTTATATCCCTTTTTCCTTTTTCTTCTTTCTTTCTTTCTTTTTTTTCTTTGAGACAGAGTCTCACTGTGTTGCCCAGGCTGGAGTGCAGTGGCACAATCTCGGCTCACTGCAACCTCTGCCTCCAGGGTTCAAGCGATTCTCCTGCCTCAGCCTCTCAAGTAGCTGGGATTACAGGCATGAGCCACCCTGCTTGGCTAATTTTTGTATTTTTAGTAGAGACAGGGTTTCACCCTGTTGGCCAGGCTGGTTTTGAACTCCAGACCTCAGGTGATCCACGTGCCTCGGCCTCCCTAAAGTACTAGAATTACAGGCATGAGCCACCACGCCCGGCCTATATATCCCCTTTTCCTTGATTAGACTTGCCGGAAGCTTTGCTTTCTTATCTTTTTCAAATCCTTGGTATATTCATTTTTATTTTTTCCGTTTAATAATGAAAGCAGTTAAGACCATTAATTTGCTTCTTGGTACAGATTGACCGCATTTTGTAAATTATGTCTTGTATTGTTCTCATTGCCATTAGTTTGAAATGCATTTTTTAAAAAGCCAGATTTATTATGGTATAATTTATTTACAGAAACTTTTCTAGGTTTGCAGTTGGATGAGTTTTTACAAATGTACAAAACCACCACCACAATTGAGATACAGAACATTTTCATTACCCCCAGAAGTTTCTGCAGGCCCCTCTGTAGTCAGTCCTTTCCCCAACCCCTGACAACTACCAGTCTGATTTCTGTTGCTGTGATTTTGCCTTTCCAGGATATAAATAGAATCATATGGTATGTGGCCTTTTGGATATGGCTTCTTTCACTTACCATAATACTTTTAATATTTATCCATGTTGTTGCATGTAGCAATAGTTCATTCCTTTTTATTGCTGAGCAGTATTCAGATACATGGGCGTACAACAATTTGTCTGTTCATAAGTTGATGGACATTTGGATTGTTTCTGGGTTTTTGGCCATTATGAATAAAGCTGCAATCATACACGGTTTTGTGTGACATCTCTTGGTTAAATACCTAGAAATGGAATTGCTGGGTTGTGTGGTAAACACTTACTCTGTTTAACTTTGTAAGAAACTGCCAAACCGTTTTCCAAAATTGCGATACCATTTTACTTACCCACCAGCCATATATAAGAGTTTTAGTTCTGTATCCTTGCCAGCACTTTGTGTTGTATGGTTTTGTAATAGTGTGTAGTGGTATCTCATCATGGTTTTATTTTGCGCTTTCCTAATGGCTAATGATGTTGAGCATCTTACAGGCTTATTTGTCATCTGTATCTTCAGTGAAGTGCCTATTCTAATATTTTATTCTTTTTTTATTAGGTTTTTTTGTCTTTTTGTTATTGTTATTTATATATTCTTGATATTAATCCTTTATCAGATGTATGTTTTACAAATATTCCCTCTCAATATGTATCTTTAGTATCTGTCTTTTAAAAAGAAGTTTTAAGTTTTGATAAAATCTATCTAGTTTATTAATGTTTTTTTCTTTTATAGGTTGTATTTTATCTAAGAAGTCTGCCTAATCCAAAATCACAAAAGTTTTCTCCTAAAAGTTTTATAGTTTAAGTTTTATATATAGCCCTGTGTGATCCATTTTGAGTTGACTTTTGTGTATGGTACAAGGTAGGCATCAAGGTGCTTTGGATAGCCAGTTGTGGCACCATTTTGTGGGGAAAACTTTTCTTTCCCCATTGAATTACTTTAGCATCTTTGTTGAAAATCAGTTGACAATATCTGTATGGATTTATTTCCAAATTCTATTCTGTTCTATTGGTCTGTGCAAATAATACACTGTCTTGATTACCATCGTTTTATGGCAACTCTTGGAATCAGATAGTGTGAGTCCCCTACCTTTGTATTTCTTTTTCGAAATTGTTACGCTGGGTGGGATGTGGTGGCTCATGCCTATAATCCCAGTGCTTTTAAGAGGCCAAGGTGAGAGGATCACTTGAGGTGAGGAGTTTAGGAGTAGCCTTGGCAACATAGTAAGACCCTGTCTCTACAAAAAAAATAATTTTAAAAATCAGCTAGGCATAGTGGTATACACTTACAGTCCTAGCTACTTGGGAGACTGAGCTGGCGGGATCGCTTGAGGCCAAGAGTTCAAATTTGGCTGTTCTAGGTCTACTGCCTTTCCATGTAAAATTTAGAATCAGTTTGTAAATTTCTATGAAAAAAAAGGCTGCTGGGATTTTTGTTGGTCTTTACATCTAAAGATCAATTTGGGACGAATTGACATCTTAATAGTATTGTGGTTTTTTTTTTTTTTTGAGTTGGAGTTTTGCTCTGTCACCAGGGCTGGAGTGCAGTGGTGTGATCTCAGCTTACTGCAGCCTCCACCTCCCAGGTTCAAGCCATTCTCCTGCCTCAGCCTCCCAAGTAGCTGGGGTTACAGGTGCGCACCATCACCCCCAGCTAACTTTTGTATTTTTAGTAGAGATGGGGTTTCACCATGTTGGCCACGCTGGTCTCAGACTCCTGATCTCAAGTGATCTGCCCGTCTCAGCCTCCGAAAGTGCTGGGATTATAGGTGAGAGCCACTGTGCCTGGCCAATAGTATTGTGTTTTTTTGATCCATGAACATGGTACATCTCTCCCTTTTTTTTTTTTTTTTTTTTTTCTGTTTGGAGATAGGTTTCACTCTGTTGCCCAGGCTGGAGTGCAATGGTGTGCAGTCATGATTCACTGCAGCCTCAGGTGATCTCCCACCTCAGCCTCCTGAGTAGATGGGACTACAGGTACACGCCACCATGCCTGTCTAATTTTTGTATTGCTGGTATTTTGCCACATTGCCCAGGCTGGTCTCAAGCTCCGGGTCTCAAATGATTTGCCCACGTCAGCCTCTCAAAGTGCTAGGATTCCAGGCATGAGCCACTGCACCTGGCCTATCTCTCTCTTTTTTTTCAGCTCTTCTTCAGTTTCTCATCAGTGGTATTTTTGTTTTGTTTTGTTTTTTCCATAGGTTTTTGGGGAGCAGGTGGTGTTTGGTTACATGAGTAAGTTCTTTGGTGGTGATTTGTGAGATTTTGGTGTACCCATGACCCAAGCACTATACACTGTACCCAATTTGTAGTCTTTTATCCCGCATCTTATCAGTGGTTTTTATTTTTATTTATTTATTTTTTGAGACAGGGTCTCACTCCAGTGCCCAGGCTGGAGTGCAGTGGTGCGATCACGGCTCTTTGCAGTCTTGACCCCCCAGGCTTAAGCGATCCTCACACTTCAACCTACCAAGGAGCTGAAACCACAGGTGCACACCAACACCCAGCCAATTTTTGTATTTTTTTGTAGAGGTGAGATCTCGCTATTTTGTCCAGGCTGGTCTCAAACTCCTGGGCTCAAGCAGTCTGCCTGCCTGGACCTCCCAAAGTGCTGGGGTTATAGGCGTGTACCACTGCGCCAGGCCATATGGGTGGTTTTTAGTTCAGCATACAAATCTTGCACATATTTTGTTAGATACATTCCTAAATATTTCATGGTCTTAATGCTACTGTAAGTGATTTTTTTTAATATCCATGAGAGCAATTTTTATTTCTTCTTTGACCATGGCATTAGTTTAATGTTTTCTGCTTTTGAAGTGATTAATTTTCCATATTTGTTGGTGGAATTTTTGTTGTTGCTTTTTGTCATTCTTAAAGTTTATTTGTGGCCCATTGTAGGATCACTTTTTGTAAACAGTTCAGGGGTTTGAAAAGAAGACATTTTTTTTTTGTTTTGCTTTGTTTTTGAGATGGAGTTTTCCTCTGTTGCCCAGGCTGGAGTGCTGTGGTGCTATCTCAGTTCACCTCAGCCTCCACCTCCTGGGTTCAAGCGATTCTCCTGTCTCAGCCTCCTGAGTAGCTGGGATTACAGCTGCCCACCACCATGCCTGGCTAATTTTTATATTTTTAGTAGAGATGGGGTTTCGCCGGGTTCACCAGGCTGGTCTTGAACTCCCAATCTCAAGTGATCCACCCACCTTGGCCTTCCAAAGTGCTGGGATTACAGGGGTGAGCCACCGCATCCGGCCAGAAGACATATTTTCTATAAGCTCTGTTGACTCTTATTTTATTGGTGATATTACTTAGGTATACTATATCTTAAATTAGTTTTTTTCTCTTGTCAGTGTGTGAAATTTTGATAGTCTTTAGTTTCTCACTCCAGTTTATATTTTTCTTAGTTCATTTGGGCTGCTGTAGCAATACCATAACCTGTGTTGCTTACAAATAACACAAATTTATTTCGGACATTTCTGGAAGCTGGGAAGTCTAAAATCATGACTCCAGCAGATTCAGTGTCTGGTGAGGGCCCACTTTCTGTCTTCTTGCTTTGGCCCTCACATGGTGGAAGGGGTGACCACACTCCCTTGTGCTTCTTCTGTAAGGTTACTTACCCCATTCATGAGGGCTCCTTCCCTATGGCCTAATCACCTCTCAAAGTCCCCACCTCCTAATTCCATCAACTTGGCGGTTAGGATTTCAGCATAGGAATTTTCGGGGAGACACAAATATTCAGACCACAGCAATATCTAACCATTTCAATTAAAAAATATTAGGGCTGTCTTATTCCATAGAGAGTTTTATCTGCATAAAAGAATCTTCTGTTCTATTTGCAGCCTTGGCCTCATTCATTTTGTTAATATTGCCACTTGCTTGTTTTTCTTTGCATGTATCTTTTGTCTTTGCCAATTTTATTATCCGTTTAACCTTTCTCTGTCATCTAGGTATGATCCTTATAGTTAGATTTACCTCTTTTGATGCTGAAGTTATTGCTGTCAGGTAAAATAAAGAAAGAAAAAACAGTTTACCTCTTTTGACTTAATTCGAGTCTTTAAAAATGTGTACCATAAGTTGTTTACATTTATTGGTATAACAAGTTTTTTTGCTTATTTCTTCCATCATTATTTTATGCTGTCTGTAATGCTTTCTGTTTCCTTTGTCCCATCGCTTTTCTTTGCTATTTTGATCAAGTTTTCTTTGTTCTTGTCTTCCTCTAGTGAGTTAAAAGATTTTAATGTGCTAATTAGGCATAATTATTAACATTAAGAATGAAAATTATGATGGCTGAAATGTTGCAAATTTTAAGAGGCCTAATTCTCTTTTCTGCTGCCATTCATCTTCCCCTCACCCCATATCATGTTAAAGTAATCTGGAATCTAATTGCCAGTTATCTTTTTTTTTAATACTATGAAGTTTCTTTTTTGTAATAATTTTTAAAAATAATATTTGCATTGAGCTTTACAACCACATTAACAATTAGTTAAATGCAATTGTTTTGTTGATTCACAGCTTACTATTATTTCTTCATTATACCATATCTTATCTTGAATTTTTATTCTGATTTATGTTTCTTATGGATTTTTGTGTTTTGTTTTGTTTTTTTTTTAATTGAACATACTTTTTTTTTAATGTTTGTTTCTTCATGAAGAATTTTTTTCCTCTGGGCACAGTAGCTCATGCCTGTAATCCCAGTACTTGGGGAGGCGGAGGTAGGCGGATCACTTGAGGTCGGGAGTTTGAGACCAGCCTGGCCAACATAGTGAAACCTCATCTCTACTAAACAAAAAAAAACTACAAAAAGTAACTGGGTGTGGTGGTACGCACCTGTAATCCCAGCTACTCAGGAGGCCGAGGCAGGAGAATTGCTGGAACCAGGGACGCAGAGGTTGCAGTGAGCTGAGATCACGCCATTGCACTCCAGCCTGGGTGACAAAAGCAACACTCCATCTCAAAAAAAAAAAAAAAAAGAGAATTTTTTTTCCATTGCAGCTGAATCCTGAGCATGTTGATTTTAATTAAACAGATGTTGTCAATTAATCATTTTTTATAGCCTAGATATATTTTTGAAAATACTGAAATACAGCAGGGGAAAACAATTCTAACGATTTAACCTTTTCTAAAGTAATAAGGTGTTGATTTTGAATTTGAATTTTACTCACAATTACCAAGAGTGATTGTATAACAGGTTTTTTACTTATTTCTTCCATCATTATTTTACAATTACCAAGAGTAATTGTAGGGCTTCCCTTCTTCCTTCTCTCCTTTTGTCTTTCCTTCTCTCCTTTTGTCTTTCCTTCTTTTGTTACTTTCTGCCTTTGTCTCAGCCAGTCTTATCATTGCTGGTTGTTTTTGAGTTTTAGTATTTCAGGTTCACATTGTGTCCATTTCCATTGCTACTTTTTCTGGTTTGTTGGTTAGTATTATAATTTTCAGATGGAATCAGATATTTCAGGTTTAAATGAATAGCTTTCATTCTGTATACCTTTAAAAACCTGAAAGAAGGAAGGGCCTAAATCAAGGTCCAAGTATATTATTATTATTACGGTAGTCAAAAACGATAGTTTCATAGGAAAAACATTTTTTAGTGTGTTTATATTTTTCTTTAGATTTTTTTGATGCCATGCTGGGATAAATAACCATCTTAGCTTGTGTTAATCTCTATTAATAGTTTACAATATCTGATGCTGTAGTCTTTTTTTTTTTTTTTTTTTGAGTTTTAGTCTCACCCTGTCACCCAGGCTGGAGTGCAGTGATGCCGTCTCAGCTCACTGCAACCTCTGCCTCCTGGGTTCAAGCGATTCTCCTGCCTCAGCCTCCCAAGTAGCTGGGATTACAGGCGCCTGCCACCACGCCTAGCTAATTTTTGTATTTTTAGTAGAGACAGAGTTTCATCATGTTGGCCAAGCTGGTCTCAAACTCCTGACCTCAGGTGATCCACCCGCCTTGGCCTCCCAAAGTGCTGGGATTACAGGCGTGAGCTGCCGCACCTGGCCTGTAGTCTTACTGGAAGAGAATATTTGATTTATGCAACCTCTCTGTTACAGAGCAAAGTATTATTTGTTCCAGATAGTCTCAAAGATGTAAATTTTATTTTTAGCATTATCTCTTCTGAGAGCTTCTAATTTGTACCTTACCTGTGACTAGGAGGAGTAACAAGTTCAGCCTGAGAATTAGTTCTTGTAATAATCTTTTTCTTTGCATAACTGCAAAGGAGACAGAAAGTTTTGAGGTATTCTGTCTCTGACAGAATACTTTCAAACATAACATTTTTCTTTACTTTAAAGATTATAAACTCCTTTTTACTATACTTTTCTGGAACATATCCCTGGTGACCAGTCCTATTCCAGGGTGTAGGAGAAGCCCCTATTTAGGGATTGACCCAGACAACAATAATTCAGGCCAGAGCCTCTAGTTGAGTAGTGAGTTAAGCCAGTAGAGAAGGAAATGTAGACCAAATAGTTAGTGAAGAAGGCAGTGGTAATGAATGAGACAGAGGACTCCATTTGAAAAGACAGTTTTTCCTTTTTGTTATGAAAAATGGTCCTGGTAACAATTTTGTAATAGGTAATGTCCACGAACCAGATTTTATATGGAAATGTGATTGACGTATCATTTCTGGGGAACTTCATGATTTGCTCTGTTAAGCTTACTGATTTGGATTAATGAACGTTTAAATCAGTGTTTTTTAATTTTATTATTATTATTTTTAAGACAGAGTCTTACCCTGTTGCCCAAGCTGGAGTGCTGTACCACAATTGTAGCTCATTGCAACCTCAAATTCCTGGGCTCAAGTGATTCTCCCATCTCAGCCTCCCAAGTAGCTAGGACTACAGATGCGCCCCACCACACCTAGATAATTTTTAAAAAATTTTTAGTAGAGATGGGACCTTGCTATGTGCCCAGGCTTAAACGAATATTTATTTACTGAGACTGCTTTAGGTTCCCAATAATGTGCTAGATGACAGAAACAGAATATAACATTGTAAATAATTTTATCACAAGATTTTCTAATATTCAGTTTTTTAAATGGTAAAATTCTTCTTATTTAAAATTATTAATATTATCATTTTATATAAAATCTCTCACCTAGTTTATTACCACAGAAGGCTAAATATCTGTTATACATAGAGCAATCTGAGACATAATATGGAATACATATAAATATAGAACATAGTTCCTAACTTCTGGGGCTGTTTGGTTTAGGATATTAGTCCTAATCACAAGCTAATTAACAGTACAAGGCAGGCCAATTTAGGTAACAAAAAGTGAACAACGGAAATGGCCTAAGTGCTTGAATAAATAAATATAAATTATAGTATTAAATAATAATCACTTTTTTAAAATGCATTCTTTTGAACTTCAAAAACAGCATCTATATCTGCTTTTATTTCCTCATCCCCTGCTCTTTCTTTCATACACTTGCATTTTGATCTGTTTTCCTGTCACTGTGCTTAGGCACTTTACATTTGGCACTGTCAACCTGCCCCTTCTCTTGGCCTCTTTGGCACTTAACTGTCCTCACTCATTCATAACACTACCTAACCTGCACCTTCTCTGTATTCTTCACTGCCCTTTTTCTTCCAAGTTGAGTCCATGGCTCTCTGCTTTCTACCATTTATTCTGTCATTCTTATGGCCTTTCTTAATGCCAGTTTGCAGGGCCTCCAACAATCTAGTCCTTTTACCTGAGCTTCTACATTGCTCTCTAACATAGTAGCCTGTATGGGTCACAAAGTGCTTTGACTTTTAGTGGCTTTGTAATCTTACAGACAGTAGATGTTACCTCACTTACATTTGATTTTTAATTTTAATTCAGTTTTTTAAATGCCAACACATTCATGTGGTCAAAATTCCAAAACTACAAAAGGATGTATAATGACTGTTTCCCGCCTACTGTTCTCTCATCTATGTAGCTCCTTTGCCCAGTGGCAACCAATATCTATTTTTTTGTATATTTTTCTAGAGGTGTTTTTTATGAAAATCAACAGTTCTTTACAAATATTTACCCCATTTTACAGACAAAGAAGTTGAGACTCAAATATTTCAGTAATTGGCTCAGATCACAGAGTTGGTAGGTGGTAGAGCCAGAATTCTGATGTGAGTCTTCCAGTTAAAAATTTGCTGTATCTTAGATTCCAAATGCCTGGTGGATATTTCTTCTTGGACTTCATATCTCATCCTATTTTCTGTCCTTTTTCTAAAATTGGTTTATCCCCCATAAATTTCAGTCTTTTAAATGGAATCTGGTTACTAGATTTGAAAGTTTGTAATACTTACTGAATCCTTCTTATTCATTTCTTGATATGTAATCTCTTTTAAAATGTCTGTCATACTCATTCACTAGTCTCCATTCCTGCTACCAAGTTCTAGTTCAGGCCATCATGACCACCTGCCTGGATTACTGCCAGAGGCTATAGGTTGGCATCCTTAACTCTCAGTTCTCTTTGTTAACTTTATTTTGTTTACCATTTGCCAGAATTATCCTGCCTAACACTTTAGATGCCATTATTCTCTCCTCTGGCTTCTTTTTTTCCTTTTTCATCAGGTTTTAATTATTCTGCCTAACTTTTAAGGCCCTATATCATCTGGCCTAATCCCCCCCATCTTACTTAGCCTCTATCCTTTTGAACATATCTCCTCTTAGGCCAAAATTAAACACCCCATATTCTGGCCTAATTGCCAGAGTATGTGTATGCATTACCTAGACTGTCTTCCCTTCAGTTACCAGAAACATACTGCATCTTTCAGGTCTATTTCCATTCCTTTCATGATAATTTTTGCTGCTGCTGCTGTTTTTCTTGTTAACTAGGTTTTTCTTTCAGTCAAAAAAGTATTCATGTATATGACAAAAAATTTCTAGAGCTCAAAAGTATACCATGAGTGAAATATGTCATCTCTTCTCAGGTCTCCTCTGCAGAAGTGATCACTGTTAATAGTTTCTTATGTATCCTTCCTAAACTTTTTCATCAATATGGAAACGTGTATGCCCCATCTTTTTTTCTTTACAAGTGAAAATACACTACGTGCATGTTCTAAACCTTTTACCTCTTAATATGGGGGAACATCTTATATTAGCAGCTAGATCTACTGCATTTTTTTTTTTTTTATCAGCTGTGTGCTACTTCCTTTATATACCCAGTTCCCCACTGATGGACATTAGGGTTGTTTCTGATACTTTCACGGTTACTGTTGACATTTCTACATTGAATAGTTTGTAAAAAAATCACCTTTGTGAGCATAAATTTTCAGAAAAGAAATTTCTAGGTCTAATGATGGATATTTAAAAATTTTTGAGAGTTAATACCAATGACTCACCAAAGAGATTTACACCATTTTACTCTTCTGACAACAATGAGAGCACCTATTTCCCCATATTCTTCAGTGTTATGTATTATCAAACTTTAACCTTGGTCAATCTGATAGGTAAAAAGTGACACATTTTAATTTAAAATGTTCAAAGTATGAATGAGGTTAGACTATTTAAAAGACATTTGTTTACATTCTTTCTATGAAATACCAAATTTTTATTGAGTTTTTGCCTATTAGTAAGAACTTTTTTTTTTTTTTTTTGAAACGGAGTCTTGCTCTGTCGCCCTGGCTGGAATACAGTGGCGCGATCTTGGCTCACTGCAACCTCTGTCTCCTGGGTTCAAGCGATTCTCCTGCCTCAGCCTCCTGAGTAGCTGGTACTACAGGTGTGCACCACCACACCCGGCTGATTTTTGTGTTTTTAGTAGAGACAGGGTTTCACCATGCTGGCCAGGCTGGTCTCGAACTCCTGACCTCAGGCGATCCTCCTGCCTCGGCCTCCCAAAGTGTTGGGATTACAGACGTGAGCCACTGTGCCCAGCCAGAACTTTTTATATATTAAGGTTCTTGGTCCTTAATTGATGTTATATGATGTGAATATGTTTTTCTAGGTTTGCCAATTATCTTTTTACTTTGTATTGTTCCATGTTACCTCATAGTACTTTTTACAGTTTTGGTTTTTTATTTGCCATAAAAAAAAAAACAGGGATATAGTTTTATTTTACCAAATGACTGGTTAATTGTCTTTGTAGTTTTGATTAACTGGTATCTTTAATTTAAAATGCCATTATCATATATTAAATTCTAGTATATATTTGAATCTATTCCTTGCCAGTTTTTCTGGATGTTTTCTGATTTTTATTTTTCCACATGATCTTTAAAATCAGATAATCTAAATCATCCTGCAGTTTTGTTGACAATTTTATTGATGGTCATATTAAATTTATTTTAACCCTTTCTGAAATGTTATTTTTAACTTTTTTCCTTAGACTTTAAGTTTTGCTTATTTTCTGAACCTTTATCTTTGTGGGAGAATGGAAATTAATTTAACAAAACAGTTATTTGACTTGTTATATTACATGCAGTTATATGATACAGAATCATGTGATAAAGGATAAGGCAAGAGTCACTGTACTGTGATTATGTATTCATAGTTCACTGCATTGAAAGAAAAACTAGCATCTTATTTTTGGTAATACTTCAAACTACCTGGTCAAGAGTAGAGTAAATGCCAGAAATGGGAGGAAGATAGCTCTGTTCACTTAGAAACCAGATAGAATTCCATATTCCCTGTTATTTTTAAAAATTACACATATATGAAATAATATTCATATCTCTCCTAAGCAAAATATGGTGGGGGTTTCAGAATAGTTTTACATTTACAGAAAAATCGAGACGATAGTACACAGGGTTCCCACATTCCCCCACCATTTCCCCTATTATTGACATGTTACAATAGTATAGTACTTTTGTTATAAATGAACCAATATTGATACATTGTTATTATTAACCAAAGTTCATTCTTTATTCATAATTCTTTAGTTTTTCCCTAGTGTCGTTTTTATGTATCAACATAGTTTACATTTAGTTATCCTGCCTCCTGAGGCTCCCCTAAAGAGTTTGGAAGTTTGACCTAGTGCTTTTTTTGTTTTTTTTTTTTTGAGACAGGGTCTTGCTCTGTCCCCCAGGCTGGAGTGCAGTGGCGTGAACATGGTTTATAGCAGTCTCGACCTCCTGGGCTTGAGCGATCCTTCTGCCTCAGCCTCCCAAGTAGCTGGGACCACAGGCACGTACCACCATACCCAGCTAATTTTTCGAATTTTTGTAGAGACAAGGCCTCACTTTGAGCCCAGGCTGGTCTCAAACTCCTGAGCTAGAGTGATCCTCCCACCTCAGCCTCCCAAACTGGTGGGATTACCAGAATGAGCCACTGCACCTGGCCTCGATTTAAGTTTTTTAACATGAAAAAAAGTCCTTAATATATAATTTTTCTAAAAGCCAGAAAATGTAAATGGAGTAGACAGTTTAGAAGTATATTGATGTTTTAACTTCTATATTCATTTCTCTTCTGCATTCCAGGCACTTTGTGAGTGTGCCCTCCAGACTCCTTATGACAGCTTAAAACTAGGGATGTTGTCTGTCCTTTCCACACTATCAGGGACCATCGCCATCAAACATTACTTCAGTATAGTTCCAGGTAAGGAAAAGACAGGAGATACCATATAAATAATGTGCTAACTCCTTTATCCATATTTATGTTTCAGGTTGTTTCTTCTATAAAGCTTTAACATCAGGGAAAAAAATCTCATACTCCATTGCATGCTAGTGATTTATTTGAACATGATTTCTTAACTAATGCCTATGATAACAACATCTCGCATCCTTGATCTTAAGTCAATAATATATTTTTCTAGGTTTGTCCTTTTTTTTTTGAATTATATGTGGGTGAAAATATTTTTGAGGATGCTTAAAATAGTTGGTTTGCTTTTGTGTATCTCTGACTCAAAGTGCCCTTTGAATTTAAGTACATTTCAAAGGTCAAGTAGTAGTGAGTTTTAAAAGCAAATGTCATATGCTTCCTTTTAGGTGCATATTATTTCTCTGGAAAACAATTAAAATAAAACTTGACTCCAGCCCAATAACACTTTCCTAGTTACCTATTCAAGATGATTAACTCTAAAATGCTTTCATTAATGCCCGGTAAGGAGCTTGCTTACCTAACAGACTTAAAGCTAAACTTTTTTGTCATTTTGGGTTTTTTTTTGTTGTTGTTGTTGTTTTGTTTTAAGACAGAGTCTCACTCTGTTACCCAGGCTGGAGTGCAGTGGGGGGATCTTGGCTTACTACAACCCCCACCTCCTAGTTTCAAGAAATTCTCTTGCCTCAGCCTCCCGAGTTGCTGGGACTACAGGCGCCCGCCACCATGGCTGGCTAATTTTTGTATTTTTAGTAGAGATGGAGTTTCACCATTCAGCCCAAGCTGGTCTGAAACTCCTGGCCTCAAGTGATCCACCCACCTTGCCCTTTCAAAGTGCTGGGGTTACAGGCATGAGCCACTGTGCCCAGGCTGGTTGTTTTGTTTTAATGCAAGTTTTGCGGAACCTCTATTGCTTCCTTTTGTAGTCAGTTAGTTTGAATTAAAGAACTGTAATGTACATTTGTTTGTCCCTTTTATGGCCGCATAGTATATGATACTTTCTAGGTGTAGGGAATTCCCTGCCACGTAAGTCTTAATAGGAAGCTAAAAAGACCTGATACTCCGTTGTCACACCTCCCTTCCAGCTAGTGTGCTTACATGTGGCTTGGACTCAACTAATCATTTCCATGCCACAGACTGAATTGGGAGCCAGTAACAACAAGAAAGTAGGGATATGAGAGAATGGGGATATGGTGATGTAGCAATGACAGAGCAACATTTGTTTCCAGAATATACTCTAGCAGTGGGTGTTTGCTATGTCTGGTACCCTGTAACAGAAGTTAAGCTGTGACATGAAATAATCAGTAACAATGGCTGCTGTGTCCTCACTGGACTAATTCCATGCATGGTCTTTTGGGCTGTGGTCTTGGTTGCTCCCTGGCGTTTTTCTTATTTATTTTCTGACCTTGTTTTTCTATTAGTTTTGCAGGCTTTCCAGTGATTCTCTGAAGTACATTATCAGTTATCTATTGCTACATAACAAAATCACCCCAAACCGAGTAGCTTAAAACCATGACCTTTTTATTTGCTCTAATTATGTCAATCAACCATTTTGACTGTACTCAGGTGGGCAGTCCTATTGGCCTCACTTGGGGTCACTTGTGTGATTATGGTCATGTATGACCAGGATTGGATGGTCTAAGACGGCCTCATTCACATGCTAGAAATTGAAAGGCTTTCTGCTGAGGCACCTTAGTTTTTATCCATGTGACTCTTGGTGGGCTAACTTGGGTTTGTTTTCAGGATGTTGGTTGGAGCCAAAAGAAAGCAAGCCACCAACACAAAAGCATTTGTCAACCTTTTGCTTGCAGCCTGTTTTCCAATGCTTTATTGGCCAAAGCAAGTCACATGGAATTGGAAGATCACATGGTAAAGGAGCATGTCCACAAGGGATGTGAGAAATTATCACAGCCTTCTTTATAAACAACGTACCATATACCTAGGGTGCTTTCAATGTATTCTTTTTCTGCATAAATCACCCAGTGTGTTTCTTAGCTTGCAGTTAACATCCTTCACCAACATTGCACTTTGAAAGAGCTGTGATAGACAAAGTCTTAATCATATAATAGATGAGAGCTTTCCCATACAAGTAGCCTTTCAAGTGAGGCATATGCAAAGGAGTTTATAAGTATTGAAACTGAGACTCACAAAGGTTTGACGGTATGTCCAAAGTTCACATAGTTGTGAAGTGTCTGAGCCTAGGCCTGAACTCAGCGGTCTGACTCAGAATTCTCTTTTTTGTACCAAACTGACTTACATGCACAATAACTTTCTTTTTCTTTATTTTTTAATTCCAAAGACATGTATTAGCATTATGTTGGGTTATAATACTTAAACACTTTTCAAGCTAGGTATTTGTCCTTTTATTGAAGTTTGTTAATTTTGGCTTATATATGGAATTAAGCAAAGGCTTAAATAAATAGATAATATTTATAAAAAATAAAATCAAGGATTTTCCAAAGTTACATTATTTCCATAAATAATGGTAAATCTTTATTTCCGTTTATTATGTTTTTTCAATGTAGCCAAAAGTAGTTTAAAAAGCAAACTTAAATTTAGTATGTCTAAATCATCACTAACAAATGGCTCAAATATATAAGATGTTCAATATCAGACATATTTAAGAAAAAGGCACCTTAAAACAACACTTGAAATAATTTTAATCCATCAGATTGGCAAGGATTTAGAAGTTTGATAAACATGGTGTGTTGACAAGGGTGTGGGTAAGCAGTCATTACTGCTGCGAATATAAATTATTAAACTTGTACATAGATGATTTGGAAATACTCATTAAATTACAGATAACCCAGACTTTCCACTTCTAGGAATTTATCTTATTTACATAGTCACACATTGAGAAATGGCATATATACAAGATTATTCTGAGCACCATTTTATATAATAGCAAAATATTATTTCTTAGTAGAGGATGTAATAGCATTAAAAGATCATCAATAGAGGACTCAAAGAAATTATGACACATCACTGCAATAAAAATCAATGCAGTTTACTAAAAAGAAAATATGGCACGGAGCAGTCTCCATGATACAATATTTAAAGAGAAATAAAACAAGATGGAAAACAGTATGTGAAAAGGAAAAAGAAAGAAAGGAATAAATGTGCTTGTAAATTTATGGACTCTGGAATGATACACAAGAAGCTGATAACATTGGGTGGGGGAGGAAAACTTTTCTCTCACTAGCCTTTTACCATTTTCTACTCTTTGTTGTACCTTGTAAGCCTTGTGAGTTTATCTTAGAAAATCATTACTAAATAAATAAAAATTAAATTAAAAATAATCTTATTCCTAGAAAACATAGGAAAAGGCTCAGAAATATTAGATTTTAAAAGCAGAATATTGGCCAGTATCTACATATCCTGATTATATGTGAGTTTTTAAATTGTACTGTTGTACATAGGGGGAAAAAGATTTAAAAGAAATATTTCAGAAAATTAACAGTAAGGTCATGCTGGTTTGTGAAATTTGGTATGATTTTTGTATTGTTCTTTGGATTTTTCTGGGTTTTTTTTCTGAGTTTTCTATGGTGAGTGTTGGTAGGAATAAAACAAAGAAAAAACAAGTTATAAAACATGTTTGTAAATTTATAGATGACTCCGCATTGTCCATATCACATGGACAAAAAGAATAGAGGAAATACAATTTCCACAGTTTTGAAAAAATAAAGATATAGTTTCATCTTTCTAATGTTTTGCCTAACTTAAAAACACTGAAGGGGCCAGGCATGGTGGCTTACACTTTGGGAGGCTAAGATGGGAGGATCTTTTGAAGCCAAGAGTTTGAGACCAGCCTGAGCAACAAAGCAAGACCCATCTCTACAAAAAAAAATAACAAAATTAGCCAGGTATGGTGGCATGCACCTGTATTCTCAGCTACTTGGAAGCTGAGGTGGGAGGATCGCTGGAGTCCTGGAGTTTGAGACTATAGTGAGCTGTGATCTGTAGTAGGCCATGATCGCACCACTGCACTCCAGCCTGGGCAACAGAGTGAGACTCTGTCTCAAAAAAAAAACAAAACAAAACAAACAAAAACCCAAAAAACACTGAGGCTCTCTCTTAAACTTGTATTATATTAAACCAGAAATCAACAAAGTGACCATAGGTCCCATGTCACCACAGATATTCATGGTTTATGTCTATTGTAATTCTTAGTAGCGTCTCTTTCAGCCTCAAAAAATACGGTCACCCTTGGTATGAGAAACAAAGTTGAAGTTGACGAGAATCATGGAAAAATAAGCAGAGGAAAAGAAGACAGGAATGGGAGACTCTTTTAAGTAGTTGAACAAGCCCTAATCTCCTTGTTTTCTTGAAGCTTATTCAGTTATAACTGAGGGCTTCTCTACTGTAAATTACAATAGTTACAACATGAACCTTGCATTCCAGAATTTCAAATGTGAATTTTAAAAATTGCTGCAATCTATAGCATGGAATTTAAGGTATAAAGCAGAAGAGTATAATAACAGGGGCATTAGAACATGACTGATAAGTTTTATGAACTTAATGGCAAGATTCTTAAAATTTTGGGGCTTTGGGCTTTGATTCCACCTGTAAAAATAGGGTGTGTTAAATCAGATGATCCCAAAATTCTTTCCAGCTCTACAATCACGAATTCATATGAGGTATAAATGTGTGTCAGCAATCTGAGATGGAAAAAAAAAGCAAATTTAAATTTTTTTCTCTTTTCTCTCCTATCTTGAAAGTATGGTTTTGTCTGACAAGAGGCCTATAATGATACCTGTTTTAATCAGAATTCATTTGAACTCTTAGGATAGTTGTTTTGGCTTTTGTACTGTTAGTCAATTTTTATTAATATTTTTTAAGAAATTATACGTTGATTTTAGATCTTAGTCATTACGAAACTGTTGGCACATACCTATTTCAAGTACCTTAATGGAGAGAAATGCTGATATGTATTGATAGTGGGATTGTGGTAGGAAATTTTGTTGAAGTTTATTGTTAGAGACTTTTCTCAAAAATTAAGAAAATTGAACCTATGAGCTGAACTGCTTTTGAACTATTTGAATTACAATTTCTACTACTTTTCTCTGCTTTTTTAGGAAATGTGAGTTCTTCTCCCAGATCTTCTGATTTAGTCAAATTAGCCCAAGAGTGCTGTTACCATAATAACAGGGGCATTGCAGCTCATGGAGTTAGAGTCCTAACTAATATAACTGTTTCTTGTCAAGAAAAGGGTAAGTTTGATCAGGACTGATATTACGTATAAACTTTGGTTTAGACCTTGGACAGAATTCTGTTTGATTTTTTTTTAATCCCTTATTTTTAGCCTGTGTGCCTTGATCTACAAATTGACTCCTTTCAAAGTGTTCTTAGAGCATGTGTTCTTAAGACTACTTTATCCTTGTGAAAAATAATAAAGAGATGAAGACCTTGGGAGTGGAATTGAAAGGTTTTATGGAGCATTGCCCATTTCCTTCCACTGCTTACCTTTGCATATATGGTGCATATATGGTGGATAAAGATTGCTTAGGACTCTACCCCTTTTGTATAAGGTGGTATGTTCACTTATACAAAAACCTAGAAAATTTACTTAGGTTCTCCAGGGACTTAAATAACAAATAGTTTCACCTAGAGGCAAGTGAATTCACAGACCAATGTGAATTAAATTTTCACAGAATTTACTCTAGGTATATGTGGCATTAAACTGACTTGCATAATCAAGGAGGACATGCAAGGAAAATAATGCACATATTTTGTTGTCTACCTAACATCTTTTGACTTGTGTTCAAGAACAAGAAATGCATTTTGGATATTCCATCTGTTTCAGTGCTGATTTTGATCTTCATTAAGGATTACAAGCTCAGTGGTTCCTCTTATCCCCCCTAGCCTTCAGCACTGCTTGTTCCTAGTACCTGTTTTTTTCTAGCAACCTGACCTTCACTAGCCTTTACTCTGTTTGCCAAGCTCCTGCACTCAGGAAACATTTCTTAAAGTTGAAAGTTGATTCTGATTTGGATAATTAAGCCTGTTTTATATTGGCATCACAAAGAGTATTTTCTTCCATGTAACACAGAAAACTGCTGTATGTTCTCAACACTGAAATATATTAACCTAAAGGTAACTAATATATTCAGAACTTTCTAAAACCTTCAGAGAAATTTTAACCCTATGGTAGTGAAAAGATGTTCTAGTGCTGCTATTTCATGAGACATCTAAGAGGTTCATTCTTTATGGTCAGACTTAAAACAGTAATAAGGTTATGTGGAGACCTTATTATTTCCTAAAAGTGGTTCAGCTTTCATTAGAAGCTGAAAACTGTTATATCTTAGGTAAAAATGGACCTGCATAATTTATTTCTGATTAGGGAGATTAACACATACTGCATAGTTTGCTGTTCTTAGTATTTTCCTTAGCTAAGCTGGTGACACTATTTCAGTTTTGCTTTATTTATAGCTTTGTGGCTTTAGCTCTTGATTTAATGTGTATATTTTTATAAATACTTCAATAAAGTGGTAGAAATAAAGTCTGAAGATAGACTTTACATTCTAGAAGTAATGCCACATGTACTTTTTCAAGGAAGGTTAGGTTCATCCATTTAATAATTCCCTATATCTTAAACTCCTTAATGTTTTTTCTAAGAGAGTGTGTATGCATGTATATGTGTGTGTGTTTGTACACACATCACTTGACCATCATAAAGTTTACTGTTTTTCTTCTAGATCTTTTGGCACTGGAACAAGATGCTGTCTTTGGCCTGGAATCCCTACTGGTACTTTGTAGTCAAGATGATAGTCCAGGTGCTCAGGCCACTTTAAAGGTGAAAACTTTTATTTATTAAGTTGTAATAGATATATATGATGGTCTTAGGCAATAGAAAGCAAAGTTAAGCAGACATAGCTCCTGTACTCTTAGAAGTTTTAATCTAAGTGATTAAATCTAACTGATAAAACTACACTGATTTAATCTAACTGATAAAACCACAAAAAAACTGATGACATGACTGCAGCCGACTCATAAATGTTCATTAATTTAACATAAGCGTTCATTAATTTCCCAGTGGTATAAGCCCTAGTTTATAAGCCAAGGGAAGAATATTTTAAGGAATTTTCACCTTCACTTAGTTACAGAAATCATCTTAGAGATATGCAAGATTTTTAAAATGTGAAATGAGGCCAGGACAGTGGCTCTCATGCCTATAATCCCAGCATTTTGGGGCGGTCAAGGTGGAAGGATTGCATGAGCCTAGGAGTTCAAGACCAGCCTGGGCAGCATACTGAGACCCCATCTCTAGAAAAATTTTTTAAAATTTAGCTGGACATATTGGGGCACACCTATAGTCCTAGCTACTCATGAGGCTGAGGTGAGAGGATTGCTTGAGGCCGAGAGGTTGAGGCTGCAGGGAGCCATTATTGCACCACTGTTCTCTACCCTATGTGAAAGAATGAGACCCTGTCTCAAAAAAAATAAATAAATAAAATGTGAAATGAAACTACTCTTTTTGGAGTGAAACGTGAAATATAATTTGTGATGGTGCAAAATTAATGAGGAGAAGCATAGTTAATAGAAGTAAGAAACTGTTAGATAAACATTGGCGTTAGCTTGTCTAAGGTGTGGTTTCAAGGAAGTCATGGCTCATTTTAGCAGGTTAAGGAAAGTTGTGATATGGTCATAGTGATGAACAATAAAGATAGTAACATCATTAAGTGACAGCTAATAAGAAGTAGAGAAGGGAAGTAGACAACATGTGTTTGGCAACACATTCTGAGGGGGATCCTCAGAATCCCCTTGGAACCACAGTACATTTAAGACTTTTTTTAAAAGCAAATCTTTTTTCCAACAATTGTGGGTGTCAGTAAAATGCTGGATTCAGCACAGTGGGACATACATAGATGGCCAAGAAAGGTTCCTGTAATAGAGGAGCTTCCCATCTAGAATAGGCTACTGATGTTTATATAGGGGACTATAATACCAAGCGGAACACAATACATTCTCTGATATTTCACAAAAAAAGTGCAGTTCTAATGAGAGGTCAGAGTCGGGAGTGATTAACTTTAACCAAGGGTATTAGGGAAGACTTTAAATAAATGTCATATGAGTTGAGTTGTGAAAGATGGAATCGAATTACAGTAATGAGGAAAGATTGTTTGAGCCCAATGACTGCTGTTATAAAAGACTTGAAAGTAAGAATGTACCTGTTGTGGTGGAAGAATGGTGACTAGCCCACTGTGGCTGGGTGAAATAATTTGAGATTTGGAAAAGTAGTTCAGTCATAGAGGATATCAAATAACATGGTATTATGGCTTTGATTCTATAGGTAATGAGGAGATAATATAATTTTAAAGTAATGGTAACCTTTGTCGTAATTATTATTGTTATTTGAATGTCTATTATGTGCCAATCTTTGTTGAAGACTTATATATACATTTGTTTCAGTCCTTCAATAACCCTATAATGAAATGTGTTCTCCTCTTATACACATCAGAAACTTAAGGCCGAGAGAGAGAAGTACCTTGTTCAAAGCCACCTAGCTAATAAGGGGCAAGCTGAGCTTCAGCCCTTGCATTTATCAGACTCTAAAGTTATGTGTGTGCCTGACACCCCACTGATGGCTACATGGCTGCATTGTGAAGGATGGATTGAAGGGCCCATCTTTTCAAGAAATTGGAATTAGGAAGAGATTTATGATGTGGTAGAGAGAATGGAAAAGTGCCAACAGTGGATATTGGAGGCTTGACAAAAGAATCTGTTAGCTATGTAAAAGTGGGAATATTTCTAGGTTTCTAGTTTTTTGGCTGGATATTAGTGATGCCTTTAAGAAGGCCTTGGTAAGAGAAATTCTGTAGCCAAATTGGTTTTTAGATTTCAGTTGAGAAATAAGAGAAAATTGGGAACCTCTTTCCCACTTCAGTGTACTTAGAGTCATCTAAGCCGTCTTTTTAAAACTGTGAAACCTCAGTAGCCTCAACACACACACACACGTATGTTAATTCAGGAATCTATATTTTTATTTTCATTCTGGGAGATGCTGGCATAGTTTACAAGCCACACTTCAGAAGCAGTTCCTGAAAAGTAATGATAATACAGTGATGGTGACATTTGGCCTATATTTGCCTCTTCAGCATTATTCCTTATGATTTCCATCTTTCTTAAAAGTATTTTAATAGTCTTAGATTGAAATGAGTGGTTGACGTGCAGTCCTAATTTGTTATTTTAAACGTAGTGCACTTCACAAACCCTAATGTGAGATTCAGTACCTCATATTTCTTATGAAGTAAAATGTTATGCCTACAAGAAACCTCACCCTTGAGTTTCCCCAGTAACCTGTACAAAGCTCTTTTCCTTAAAGCTTCATCTGTATCTTCAAAATGTAACTAGTTCATTTTCTTTTTGGCGTGCAGATTGCTCTAAACTGTATGGTGAAGTTGGCCAAGGGCAGGCCCCATCTTAGCCAGTCAGTAGTTGAGACCTTGTTGACTCAATTGCACAGTGCTCAAGACGCTGCCCGGATTTTGATGTGCCATTGCCTGGCAGCCATTGCCATGCAACTGCCGGTGCTGGGTGATGGGATGCTTGGTGACCTCATGGAGCTGTACAAGGTGATTGGACGATCAGCCACAGACAAGCAACAAGAACTTCTGGTAAAAAGCCCATTTTGAATCTCCTTTGAATGACTAGGATCTGGTCTAGTGGGAATTACTTTTAAGTCAACATTACTATTTGACTTTACTTAAAAAACAGAACAAACAATAGGTTAAATTCATTACCTAAGACCAAAGAGTGTGCTGATGTCAAAATAGAATTGGCTTTATGAGCTTTTTACTTTTTTCACTTTTGATTTAGAAAGCCGTGTTTTGTTCACCTCTAAAACTGCTTTCTTCCGAAACCCTGTCAAATCAGCCTAGTATAGCCAAAGCCTTCAATCTCATGTTTTTTTTTATTGCAAAGGACAGAATGAAAATGAAATTTTTATCTTTCTTATACAGAGTAAATAATGAACTAAACCCTGTTTTGTACTTTAGAAAATAGAAGTTAAAAATCTAATGATAATAATGACCATAAATTAGCCCAAATTTATGTTTTCCATTCCAGGACCTCTTTAGCTGTTTAGGATCCAGTTTAGGCTTCTGTAGACCCTTGAGGTTGGGAAAGGTACATGCTTAGAAAGAAACAGAAGCTGTGGAAGCTATAAAATGTTTAGTTGAAAAGTTCTGCAGGACTGAGAGTAGGCTACATTCTAAATAATTGTAAATTAAATGAAAGTTGTAAGGTTGCCATTCCATATTGTTCTGTTCATCTTAATTTAGAATGTGGGAAAAAATATAATGAAATAATTTATTCAAGCCTGTTTTATGTTTAATCCTCCAGAGGGAATTGTGTAAAAGATTGACCCCATCCCATCATTTGCTGCCAGAAAAGGTTACCTTGATGACCAAATGTATGGATCTTTATATGAATCAGCTTTGAAATATTAAGAGGCAGTTAGCTAAGTTTATTTTTTATTGAAGTGGCATTTTGAACTAACGGTCCTGATATCTTTTTTGTGAGTACTACCTTAAGATTGTCTTAAATTATGAAACATAATATTCAAAAAATCTGAGGAATAATACAGTGAAAACTCTTGCATTCATTATCTAGCTTAAGAAAAAGGTATTAACAGTTTAGTTGAAGCCCCCTGTTTACCTTGCTGATAGCATCTCCTCCCTTCTCTCAGGTAACCACTATCCTGAATTTGGTATTTATCATTCTCATGCCTGTTATTCTTTTACTACCAAAGTGTATATCCCTAAGTAATATGCAGTATTTTGCATATTTTTAATTTTATGTAAACTTTATCATACTACTTGTAATCTTTTGCATTTTGCATATTTTTGCGTATTTTGCTTGTCATCTATGTTGGTAAGTCTGTCGCTAGTTTATCCATTTTATTTACGTATCTCATTGTTTGATTATGTTATATAATTTATTCATATTATGGGTATTGCTTCTACTTCTTTGCTGTTATAAAGAGTGCCCTGAGTGAATGGAATAAATTAATGACTTCAAAATAAAAAATTAAATAAATGTCATTGGAAAACAAATTTTGTTCTTTTGCAGTGGGCTCTAATTAGTTTTCCTCCCTTTGGGGTAGGTTATCAATGACACTGAATAAAATTAAATGATTTTCTTGGTTTTCTTCTTGCCCAATGTTAGGTGAGTTTGGCTACTGTGATTTTTGTTGCAAGTCAGAAGGCATTGTCTGTGGAAAGTAAGGCAGTAATTAAGCAGCAGCTTGAAAGTGTCTCCAATGGATGGACTGTATACCGTATTGCCAGACAGGCTTCCAGAATGGTATGTGTTACCCTTCTGAGTGAACTGGGTTGCTGGAAATGTCAGATCATGTATCTTCAATTGTATGATTATTAGTTGTAGTCAAAACTAAAAATAAAGATGGAAGTACCTTTTAGTCATGGGTTCTGAAGATGAGGAAGGAAAGGACCTGATTTTTAACTTTTATCATAAAAGAATGGTATCTATGTTGTTGGCATTAGTAATGAGGAAGTTAAAATCTGGACCCTTTCTGGCTGTAGGTTGTTAGTGCCACTTTCATTTTGCTCTGTATTGTTATAACCAAGGCCACCTACCACCCGCTGTTTCTATCTTCCTTTCTCAGTATACCACATCTTTGTTCCTCTCCCCAGTCTTGTCATTCTTAAGTAGAAATGGGAAAGCTTTAGTATGCTGTACTCTTCTCAGCCATATGGAAAGCCTAACAAGTTTTATTAATTTTGTTTGAGAGGAAATAGAAACCTTGGTTAGTACAGAAATCCTGGCCGGGTGGGGTGGCTCACGCATGTAATCCCAGTACTTTGTGAGAGGCCAAGGCGGACAAATCTCTTGAGGCCAGGAGTTTGAGACCAGCCTGGCTGACATAGTAAAAGCCTGTCTCTACTAAAAATAAATTAAAAAAAAAAACCTTGGGGATAAGTCCAGAGACCAAAGTTTGAGGAAGCATTACTCTAGGTGATTGAAGTGCATGTTCTTAATTTTATGTTGCTTCTCAAATGGGGGAGAAGCACACACTCTTGGCAGGACAATTCTTCATTATACTGTTCTGTCCCAAGCACTGCAGGACATTGAGTATCCCTGGCCCCAGGCATTAAATGGTATTCACATTTCTCCCTGCAACTATGCCTTCTCCCCTGGGGTTTCTCTCACCCACTAAATAGTTCATCTAGAATAACATAAAAAAGTATTTATACTTCCTGTATTTTGGGCTAAAGTTCTAGACTTGGTTTATAGTTGATTCCATTTATTTTCTCTTTCGGAACTGTTTTAGTAAAGAATTTCAAGCATTATGTTACATAAAAGCAACTCAGCATATTTTCTCTGAGGAAATATTTAGACAGAGTCTCAGCGAATTACATAATATGAGGAATGATTGTTCAGACTTATCCAAGGTTTGGGTTTCTCTTTTAGCTGCTGCATCAACTCTTTCAAATGTAAGAACCTCACCGTGTGCTCCTTCTATTCTTTTTTCTTTTCTTTTTTTGTTTTTAGGGTAATCATGACATGGCCAAAGAGCTTTATCAGAGTTTGCTGACTCAGGTTGCCTCAGAACATTTCTACTTCTGGCTAAATAGTTTGAAGGAGTTTTCACATGCAGAACAGTGTCTCACTGGGTTGCAAGAGGAAAATTATAGTTCAGCACTTTCTTGCATTGCTGAATCTTTAAAATTCTATCACAAAGGGATTGCTTCCTTAACAGTAAGTCCTCTTAATTCACCTTTGGTGGTGATGATTTATGTGAGAGTTCTCTCCCTTCTCTTTTTGGATTGTCCTATTTCAACTAACTTGAGAAACCTGCTGATATGAAATAGGTCATGGAAATAAACCCTTAACCTTTTCCCCTTTTTAACATTCTTAGATTGATAAAAGTTTATCACTTTCTTGTTAAAAATAACTGGGTACCACATGTGAAGAGGATTGCTGAATCCATGCAGAATGGGTAAGTGGTGTGTAGACAGGATGCTCCCTCTACAGACTAAGATTCCAGCCTGTGTGCATCAGTACCACCATCAAACATAAACCCCTGACCTCATCTCATACCTGGCAGCTACTGACTAAGTAACTAAAGTTTCTTGCTTTATAGATAAAGAGAAATTATCGAAGATTCTAGTGTCCCACTTTGTATCTCTCTGTGGTATCCTCCTACTCCACATTAACCATTAGCTAGCTACAATTTCTGTTATCTCTGCCAAGAAAATGAAAGGGTTGCAAAGAGATCCTTATGTTTCCTTGAAATTAGTTATATTCCTAAGTAGGAACCTATTCCCTAAAATCAGCATTTTTTGTATTAATGCAAGGGCTTTTTCCCTTTAAAAGTAAAGAAGTTATATAATCAACGTTAAACATTTTAAAAATACTGTCACATGACTTTAAAAATTGTATATATTGAGATGGGACCATAAAACTTTTGGTACCTGTTTACGTACATTTATAACATATCTAAAATATTTTGAATGGTGGCCTATCTCAAAAGAAATGTTTCAAAGTAGAAAAAACAGGTGTCACTAAAGAGAATATTCAGACTACTGTGAGGCACATATATTTTGAAGTATTTTATATATATATATATATATATATATATATATATTTTTTTTTTCTGGGAAGAGATTGTTGTTTCCTATATTAGGCTAATAAATGCCTCAGAAAATTAAAAAATATAATTACTGGTTGAGATCAATAGAACTATTTCATTTTCTAGTTTATGTGGAGCAGAAAATTGGTAATTATTTAGTACCATAAATGGTAAGAACTTTGAACAGACAGGCTTACAAAACAGTGTGAGGCAGATGGAATTAATTTTATGAAAAATTCTGTTGAATATTTGATACTTGTTTAATGATTTGTGTGGTATGTGTATTTAATGAGGCTTGACAATAATTAAGGATTGAATTCTGATACAGGAAGAAAGCACTTGATTGACAGAGAGGAGACCTTGTCTTAGTCTTGGTTCTGCCATTAACACAGCGTGACTTTGGGTGGGTCATTGGGCCTCAGATATTCTCCTTTTGAAATGGAGTTATTTTATTCAACAGATCATAAACACTTGGTATGTGTCAAACACTGTTTTTAGGATTAAGAAAAACAGGAAATAATTCTTCACTTGAGTGTAGTCTACAGGGGAAGGCAGTATGATCCTCAGAGTTGTTGGAAACTTCCCAGAACTCTGATTGTACTGTATACTCTCAGGGTTTTTTTGAGGACTTTTTTTATTTTTATTTTTTAACCTGTTCATTTGGTAAGTGTGGATTTGACAATTGCTTTCTATCTTTTTAACTGAGTAAATATGAGCATGGGCTGCCCCTTTTAACTTACTGATGTGAATGATCCATACCTGAGATCGTACAGCTTTGAGGATCATGCTTTTTATCTGCTTCAGCCACACTAAACAGGAGAAGTTCAAAATTCTTTGTTTATGGAGACCCGATAGCAAAGTTAGGTGTTTAATTTCTCAATACAATGATTAATGATAGAGTTGTCTTATTTCTTAGGAATAAAAATTATAAAAAGTGTTTATATTAGCTTTCTGTGCTGTGTAACAAATTACTACAAGTTTAGTGGCTTAAAACAATACCTATTTATTATTTCACAGTTTCTGTGGGTCAGAAAAGTCCAGGCATAGGCCAGGCGTGGGGGCTCATGCCTGTAATCCCAGTACTCTGGGCGACCAAGATGGGAGGATCACTTGAGCCCAGGAGTTTGAGACCAGCCTGGGCAATGTTGGAAAACCCCGTCTCTACAAAAAAAAATTAGCCAGGCATGGTGGCATGCGCCTGTGGTCCTAGCTACTCAGGAGGCTGAGGTGGGAGAATCACCTGAGCCTGGGAAGAGGAGGTTGCAGTGAGCTGAGATTGTGCCATTGCACTCCAGCCTGAGACTCTGTCTCAAAAAAAAGAGAAGTAGCAGTAGTAGTCCAGGCATGGCTTAGCTGGGTCCTCTGCTCATGGTATCACAAAATTGCAATCAAGGTGTCTGTGAGGGCCAGTCTCAGATATCTGAGGCTCAAGGAAGCTCAGGGTCCTGTTCTAAGATCATGAATTTGTTGCAGAATGTATTTCCTTGCACCTGAAGAACTTGTGGAACCTGGTTCTTCCAGACCAGCAAGAGAATCTCTCACCCTCTTTTAATGGCCTCAACTGATTAGATCCGATTCACTCAGAATGATCTCCCTTTCTACTAATATAAAGTCAATTCATTAGGGACCTAAACTACATCCTCAAAATCTCATCACTTTTGCCATATTCCATTAGTTAGAAGCAAGTTTTGGGTGCTATCCACCTTCAAAAGATGTTGTAGGTTTAGTATTCCTTAATGTAAAATGCTTGGAACCAGGAGTGTTTTGTATTTTGAGGTTTCTTTGGATTTTGGAATATTTGCATTATGCCAGTTGAACCTCCCTAA